>NC_000002.12:51402473-51705503 GCF_000001405.40 Homo sapiens | reverse complement strand
TCATTTCAATCCAATCTAACTCATACTGAACAAGTTAACATCATACTAATTGCACTGCTCTAGGCATTTTGGGGGTATAGAATCCATCAATCTATGACTCCTGCTGTCAGCCCTCCTTTACTGACAAGCAGAGACAAGATAAGAATTTATACAAGCATAAGTCAAAAATATATTACAGAATTTACTCTCATAGGACTACAATTGAATGGCTGTTATAGTTTTTTTTCCCTTTAATCCCACACACAAAAAAAGATTTTAATTCCAACTGGAGAAATTTTAAAGGGAAAGAATACTATTTATACAGCATTTCAGAAAATAAGTAAACTATTGACAGACGCAAATGGGATAAAGGCCTTCTAAGTCAAATGTAAACTCCTGAACAAAGATATCACTGCTCTATTTCCAGAAAAATTAGTGGAAAACCACTTCTATCTTCAGCGGTCATTGCTGTCAAATGGTTCTAAAAGCATCCTAACCTTTGTCAGATGTATCACTCATCACTAACACCAATAATGCAAAAACTGACTCCTGCTATATAGTATTAACAGAAGCCATGGGCTACAGAGTCTTTCTTAGGAGGCTAAAAGAAGAAATCAAAAGTAAAACAATCACAACACAATCTGCCCTCTAATGCCACTTCTTGTCCCCTGTATTTAATGAATGATTTCTAAAGCCAGTGAGCATTTTATCTGAAAATATTAAGCAGTAGGAGATTAAATTGAAAACATAAAACTTTCTGAAGAGTAAGGACACAAGTTCTTGCTTTTGAAATAAAATAATTGATAAAGATATTTAAATACCAACATGAGGCATATTTCATTTAGAAACATTCCTAAGGCAAGTACAGAGAAGTCATGTTAATAGTCAACATTTTTCCTAACAAAGAACAAAACAATATTGACTATGTGTTATAATTAAAATTGTTCTCTGCTATTTATGCTATCAAGAAAATATAATTTGGTCCTGGAAAAGCATTCTGAAATTATTTAGTTCTATTGTCACATTTCATAGTTGTTAAAGAACTTTGATGATATTAGAGACAATTGTTCTGTCAATGACAGAATAATAGAACTAAAGGATTTTTGATAGAATAGATACTAGAACTAAGGGATGTTATCTCCTGCAGGGGTGTCCTTCTTAATAACACCAAGTCACTTACACTTCATCACCTCACATCTCCAATAATCTCCAAAAGAAAAATTTCTAAGGAATTAACTCATTTTCCTAATAGTAACCCTTTGTTTAAGATTGCATGAGTAATTGAACATTTATTGTTTAGACATCATTTTTGTGAAAATACAACAAAGGTATTGGTGGCTATGAACTGTATGTTTGTATCCCACCAAAATGCATATGTTGAAATCCTAATCCCCGAATGTGGCGGTATTTAGAGATGGGGCATTTGAGAGTTAATTAGGACATGAAGGTGGAACTTTCTTGATGAAATTGGTGCCTGTATAAGAAGAGACACTCACGCCTGTAATCCCAGCACTTTGGGAGGCCGAGGCGGGCGGATCACAAGGTCAGGAGATCGAGACCATCTTGGCTAACACGGTGAAACCCCATCTCTACTAAAAATACAAAAAATTAGCCGGGCGTGGTGGCGGGTGCCTGTAGTCCCAGCTACTCGGGAGGCTGAGGCAGGAGAATGGCGTGAACTTGGGAGGCGGAGCTTGCAGTGAGCCGAGATTGTGCCACTGCAATCCGGCCTGGGCTAAAGAGCCGGACTCCGTCTCAAAAAAAAAAAAAAAAAAAAGAAGAGACACAAGAGTGCTTGCTCTCTCTGCTCTTTGTCATGTGAGGACACAACAAAAATGATCATTTGCAAATAAGAAGGTGGGTCCTCATCAGACACCAGATCTGCCAGCATCTTGATTCTGGACTTTGCAGCCTCCAGATTGTAAAAAATACATTTCTGTTGCTTGAGACACTTATTCTATGATAATTTGTTATATTAGCTCAAACTGACTAAGACACTGACCAAATACTATCGAACTTTGGAGTCTTAGAATATTTTCTCTAAAATGAAAAAAAAAAAAAAGCTGTGAAATATTACTAGAACAGTATCTTGTGCCCAGGAACCCTTCAGAAGATAGTGTTTGTAAAACAGATTGGCAGATTTGCTTTAATCTGCAATGTTTGGTTTATTGTTAATAGATGTATAAGTCCAAAACAAAACAAAACAAAATATTCCTTAAAAAATCTATTATGGCTTTATCTGTTTGCTAATGAACATAAAAAGGAGTAAAGAGAAAGCTCATATGTATAATTTAATATAGGCCTAGTATTCTGTTAACCCTTTGACATTGACATATATTAGCTGTAGTACTAGAAAAGTCATATTTGATAATTAAACCTGTGTAAAAAGTGATGAAGTGCTTCTCAATCCAAAGAAGACAACTGAGGAGCTGACTTAATGGTAGTACACGCTCCTATTTGAAGCTTCTTTGAGACGTACCTCTGGCATTTTGCAAACTATCCATGGTCAGAAGGGAGTTGAAAGGTAGGAATTGCAACAGAGATCAGGAAAGAAAGAAAGAGAGAGAAGCCGAAAAGCAGGCTGTGGAAAACTTGATAGCATAATGCTTAAGTGTATGGACCCTCGGGTCAGACATAGGGGTTCAATTCCCAGTTCCACATATGCAGGCTTTCTTACCGTGGATATTTTACCTTACCTTTCTGAAAGTCCATTTGTTCATATATAAAGTTGGGGAACTAATTGTACCCTACTATGCTTATATGATGATTAAGTTAATTGTTCATAAATCAATTAAAAGACTGGCTAGTATATAATAAATGGTCAATAAATGTTAAAAGTTCTTAATTGACATGCGCATTGACAAGTAGAAAATATGATCAAGGTAGAATATGGTGAATAACTTCTGGGACAAGCAGGTCGAAGGCAGGAGAGTGCAAACTGCATACAGATGTAGCTTAATAACTAATCTGGAGTCTGTGAACAAGCGGTGTGTGCATACTCAAGAAGAAAGGGAATGGAATCTGTAGTGGCTTAGTAGCAAAGACTAATGCCCTGAGCTCATTTTCAGCATGCCAGTCATTTCAGGAGCTGAAGAAACACAGAGGCTTTGTCTTAAGACGAAGATGCTCAGGCATTGGGCTAGTAATCAACAGAGAAACAAATTAAAAAGCTACAAAAAGTGGAGAAAAAAAGAGAAAACAAAGGCTTGATCACAGGAAAGGAAACAAGTTACAACTTTTCTGGGTCCTGAACTAAAACTAGGGATGGCAGAAAGATTGATTGCTGCTGGGTCACCTGTACTACAAGATAGATTTCCAAAGTGTCCTAAGGACAAATTTGATTTCTAAGCCCTGGGTACCTTAAGGTTGGGTCTTCATTATGAACCCACATGGTCAGAAGGAAGTAACCCTGGCTCACAACCTGTAGCACAAAGTGCAAGGATATATGCATATATGTGTTCCTTAAATGCTCTGTAAGAAATAGAGTGGTGATAATTAGTTCTGAATATTTAAGTTTTAGTTCCAGAAGTCCACTCAACTTTGTTGTTGTTAGAAAACTGCAATATCAAAATACAACATCTTGGCATTGGAATCTGAAAGCCTGGCCAAGTAGTCATTGAAAATGCCTTTTATTTTACACATGAAAGTCTTGATAAATCACGTTTTCTTATAACAACACTTTGAATCCACTGAAACATCTAACAAGGCTGCAACAGAAAGCACATACATTTAGATTCTTTTGATGGTATTTTAATATTACCAGTGCTAATTATTCTGTTAATTATGAAAATATTTAAAATTATAAGAGAAATATAAGTGGGCATTATATCACCCTCCTCCATATTGCTTTTTAATGTTTGATTGGTTGATTTCTTCCCACCTTTTAAAAAGCAAATATTGATAATAAACAAAATATAAGTGAAAATTAAAAGTAAAAAAGAAACAAACGTCAGCCTTCATCATTTGTGATAGAAAGTAATTATCTCCTTCCATATAAAAATGTAAATTAGACCTATACATTTTTATTTCCTTGAGATTATCTCATACTAGATTGACATATGTACTTTCAAATACAATCAACTTTAAATTATATCAAGAAATACTCTGATTTAGATAAATGATTTCTAAATAATTCTGAAGTTACTTGGACATGATTTCAAGAGGTAATGATCTGTATTTCACTTTGAGAGAACACTAGGGTAAATGAGAGTTCTCCTAACATGACAGAGCAACAATAACAGCAACAAGTACAGCAACATCATTTATTAAACATTTTCTAAATGTCATGCAGTGTTCTGATCCACATCTATGGAACAGGTTCTATAGCTACAACTACTTTAGAGATACGTAATTGAGGCACATTTCTCTTGAACAGATTCTCCAGGATTGTACGGCTGGTAAAATCAGAGCCAAGATACGTCCATAGGTGGTCTTGATCTAGACACTGAACTATTAACCACTATACTATAGTCGTTCAAGAAGAGGTTTTTGATGTGGCAGTGTGATAGAAACACACACACAAAAATAGGTGAAATAATACAGGGAATATATATGAAAATGTTTTTAATACTTGTTAAAAAAAAAAAAAGAAAAAAGTTGGCTAGACCTGAAATTTCACCTCGCTTGTGCCAGGTGGGACAATCTAGAGCAAGCCACAAATTTAGTGCTTAAGGGACAAGAAAGGCTCTGTCAACTACATTATTAGAATTTTAATGGCATGCATGGACATGAAATATAAACTTACGCATTGTCATATGCCAGCACTCTTCAAAATTTCCTGGAGGTACTTCAAAGGTCAAGTTCTAATATAAAAGCACACAGAAAACTTTCCAAGTTGTTTTTTTAAAAAATAAATAAATCTACCAGCAAATACTTATGGACAACTTACTATATGTCAAGCACATCAGTTAGGTATATATGAGATTTTTTTTTCCCTTCAGGACATTCATGGATACATAGTATGTTGAGAAATAAGTGAAACTATGACATGGAAAAATATTACAATAAGTGAAAAATATTACAATAAAGGAAAAAATAATGGAAGAATATCAATATTTGATGCTATTATACGTGACCATATTGTTTAGCAAATTACTTCAAAAATGAAATTAGGAATTTCAGAGAATCATTTTATTCTCATATCAGTAATGCAGTAGCATTACTACAAATAGTAACAAAATGTTAGTGCCCACAGGTATAAAACACACTGTATTATTAACAAAGATAGAAGAAAGTTGTGGCATAAGTTACCTGGACACTGGAAGAGACCAAAGTATCATAGATTTACGTTAAAATGATTGTTGTTTTTCACATTCCACCTCGATAAATGTGCCTTTATAGTTTTGCTTACTTCAGACTAATAGGAAGACTCACATATATTCTCTACATATTTGCCAAAATGACAAAAAAAATTACCCCAGATGATAGAAGGGTAGCTTTCTGAAAAACTTTAAATAACTTTGGATTGTCTAGAACATTTATTTCTACACTAATTACTGAGGATCTGTTTACGATAAATATGTACACACATTCATATATGAGTGCTTACTTATTATTGTGTACTTAACTAAATGAAAAGTCTGTGAAAAATAGTTGACAAATATTAATGAATTTAATATTCACCAGGCATCTATTAATTACATATTATTATTTCCACTTTCTGGATAAGTAAATGGAGGCCTGAAAGATTATAGTCACACAGCTACCAGAGTCAAGCCAGGATTAAAGTGTATCATAAGTTAACATGACATACTCATTGTTATGTAAAGCTAGCTTAATGTTGGGTCTTCCAAAATGCTATTCCATGGGCATAATGTACACAGTCAAATAACAAATACATTTAGCCCTCACTTTTCCAAGCATTCTGATATGAGAATAAAATGATTCTCTGAAATTCCTAATTTCATTTTTGAAGTAGTTTGCTAAACAATATGGTCACGTATAATAGCATCAAATACTGATATTCTTCCATTATTTTTTCCTTTATTGTAATATTTTTCGCTTATTGTAATATTTTTCCATGTCATAGTTTCACTTATTTCTCAACCTGCATTAAGTGGGGCATTGTTTAATCATTGTTTATTAGACTACAATAAGCCAAAACTGAGTGGGAAATTAAACATAGTGTGTTAAATGAATGTCTGTGTTAACTAAACAGTAAAATGAAGATTTAGACTAATAATACGATACATGGACTTTCTGTTGTAAAGTTAACATGTGGGACTTAATTTAAAAGAAACACAAGTATATTATTAGGACTTCAGCTACACTAAAAAATTAGGGAATATTTGAGTCTAAATGTGGCTGAATTTACTTTTGAAAGAAACCTCTGCATGAAATTTGTTATATTTAAGTCTAGAATAATATAAGGAGAAATGCCTTATAAACAGTACCTAAAATCGAAATCCCATGTATTATGTTTAAAATTATATCTGCTGTACAATATCTAAAATTATTGTATTTAGTTTTAAATAGCACCATTCTCAGTGGAATGGAACATGAACAAATATATTGAAAACTCTTTCTTTTAAAAGGTCACTTTGTGAGTTGCTCTAATGAGCCAAGTTTCTGGTCGATCAGAAAGACACCCCCAAAATGAGCTCAATCAATTAAGTTCATAGGAAATAAGTAGGGCATTTCACATTGATCTAAATTTAGCCTACTCTGCTTTTTAGCACCAGACTCTATTGTTGAGCACTTTTGGGAAAATATAGCTAGTAGGAACTTTATAAAAGCAGGAAATTGTGTAAAAAGTTCATCTACTTGTTCCACAGTTAATTTTTAAGGTACATATATTACTCCAACAATCTAAGGAAAACTAAAGTTAAAAATCAGGGGCAGTAATAGTGGAAACATCAATGAACTATAGGAAAATTAACCTAGTCTCTTACTGTATGTTTTCTTTACTGACTACTTTTTCAGTACTTATAAGTCTGTGACTTAGAGTTCTAGTAACCTCCACAATTTCCGGATTTGAGTTCAACAAATAAAAAAAAAAAAAAGAAAAAAAGAAAAAGAAAGACAAGCCAAAAGAATCTCATTCTGAATTTCCCTATATTTTGTATCACAAATTACTTTCAAAAACTTCTGAACTCCTGAGAGATATGAATCAAAGGTGACTACCTACTCAGTATATAAGTAAATGAGAATATGATGGGTTACTGATGTGACAGCTTTTAGAAGAGGATCAATTTGCTTCGTGTTTTTTTTTTTCCTTCCTGATTTGAGGGAAAATACTTGTTCAGCCAGTGGACTTTATATACATAGGCAATCATGTTATAAAAATCATGACTGTTAGGAGCCCATGTTACCATAAATTCCTAGTAAGAGCCTATAATCTCTCACTGCGGATGATAAGACCTAGTCCTAGGCATGGGCCAAGCGGGTGATTCAGATTGTAGAGGTATAAAACTTATACTATGCTGGGGGTGTTCATTAAAAAATATATAAATAATGAAAATGAAATTAGGAACAAATACACTATACACATTTTTCTAGGATGACAGAAATTACCAAAATAATTACAAATTTTGAAAGCTAACACCACCATCAGCACAAGATATATTGTCAGAAGAACTTATTGCCAAGGGCCCTCCCTGAGTATTGAAAGGTCCTATGTAAGTGATGTAAGTGAAGGTCCCAAAGATTAAGTCTCACTACTTCACAGAAAATCAGTCCCTATGAGGGCTTGTCCACTTCTTGAGGAAAGAAAGTTATTCTATCCACATGGCAGCAGAGATGCAAAAGCTGCATCTTGACAGCGCAATATAGATCTACGTCTTGTCAGAAAGAAAAATTCTCTGGCTTGAAAAGTAAATTTTATAGTAAGAAAAACTGAGAGAGAAAGAATTGAGGATTTAGTAAACAGGTCACGGTAGCTTCCTAATAATTTAAAAACATTTTTTAAATGCCAAATTTCAATAATTGCACTATTCTTCAATATTCATGAAACACTAAGATGCTTCATACCACTTCTTTTTGAAACAATGTTTTGGGATTTTTTTTTTTTTTTTTTTGGTGGGTGCACTTCTCATTGCAAGGTTACATATAACTCTGTTTTCTTAGTTTCTGCATAATGCATAAATCAAACAGCTGTACGTGATGTATATTTACGAGGGATTTTTCTTTTATTCTCTGATCTCAGGGGACATCACAGAAGGAAGTATCTAGGTCTTTGAAATTCATTGGTTTCAGGGTGAGTAAGTTTCGGACAAGACTGCGTGTAGAGTCTGTGTTTTCTTTAGAGTTTCACCAGTTAATTTTTACCATGGTAAGTCAACATTCCTCCAGAGGCTCCAAATAAGAAACATGATTCGACAAAGCTCCAAGCAAGTAGATACACCCACTTTAAAATGTTTTTAAATTATTTCACTTATTCAGAAATGAATTATGAAGTCATTCTCTATCAACCATAGAAATAAAAAATGGTTCATAAATGGCATGAAAGGAAAATTATGTGTACAAAGACAGTTTGAGTAATAGAAAACCTTGCAGGAAACAATTTCAGAACAATTACAAATAAATACATTGACCAGTAAAAAAAAATGATATAATATTATTGCATCAACAGGTTCTGAAGGAACAGATTTTTGTAGAGAAAGAAATGTTTCAAAAGAGAAAAATATCATGTTTCAATTAAATTTAAAGGTTAAAATTTCTTTTCTGGTATTCTCAATGCTTTTGTCAGGTTTGAGCCTTTGGTATTTTCTTTGCCAACTCATTTAAAAAAAAAAACTCTGTGTTGTTCCTGATTATTTTTCCTTTAGGTTTAAATGTAAAATCAGTCATAAAAAATCCTAAATTTTTTTTTTTTACTGATACTGTAGTGAAAAGTACAGTTCTAGTGCTAGTTCCTAGTATTTATAGTTTTATATAAAGTTATATATATATGTGTGTGTATATGTGTGTGTGTGTGTGTGTGTGTGTGTGTGTGTGTGTGTAGGCTCAAGCAAAACAAACCAGAAGGACATTAATCATAATTTATCCAGAATTCACTTTTAATAAACATTTTGAACCTACTGGTTGGCAGAAACAATTATAAAACTCTTTCATTTAACCTGCATAAAAGTCAGCAAATGTGAGATTTTATAATCTTCAACCCTGTTTTTCAGTTCCTGTAAATAATGCAGGTACTGAGCTAATATATAATAGCTGAGGGTGAGAGAATGCAAAGAAGAGGCTGTGGCAAGTGAGAAAATATTATTTTCAACATCAATTGTAAATGGGGTAATCATACAATCAAAAGCCTGGAATGGATTATAAGATGTAATTTTTTGCCTGAAATTTTCCCAAAAGGAAATCTTAAAATTTCTCTCCCCAGTTCTTTGAAATCACTGTATTTTGCCTTTATTCCAACATGGAAGAGCTTTTAAAATCACAGGGGCTGCCATAAGCAACGATCTCCTCAGATAGTAAGGGATTTAACAACACCCATTAGCGCTCATTAAAACAATCAGTCATGCATTTATTCTTTACCTAGAACTTTACTAGAGAGAGGGTTGACAAAGAAATAGAATTTGCGTTTTGTGCTTTTGAGGAGCTTAAGGTGTCCTTATGAGAATATGGTGGGCAAAGAAAAAGAAAACAATTTACAAAATTATGTAATAGAATTGAGTTTCTTTATCCTGAGAAAGCACTGAGTGTGGACACATTGGAGTGAGGTGAAATCCATAAAGGACTTCCTTAAAAATTCCTATTTGAACTGATAGCGAGCCATGTGATTCAGTATGAAGAAAGAGAGTATACCAAGAAGAGTTTCCAATTCTATTTTCTCTATTACATTTTATGTATTTTTGGCATCAGTAATTTCCTCTGTATTTCTCTTGGCTCTCCAATTACACTGCCCACACACTGAAAAGGAATTCATGCTTACAATTCTTTTAGATGATGCCTATTTTATGAATAAAGCTGAACATGCCATAAGAAATCAATAAATGGATAATGACCAATTAACAAAAAAATTCTTTCTGAAAAAAACTTTAATTTTTAATTAAAAGCTACTTATATAAGTTTCATGGAGATGCCATTGAACTATAGAAGCTTATAAAATGGTACTTACTCTGGTATATTACTCTGAACAGAGTAATAAAAATATTGTATAATGATTTAATGGTAAAATTCCCCCAAGTTATGATTTAAGTAAATTCAAGTTAACTCTATCTTTTTTTTGAGATGGAGTCTTGCTCTGTTGCCCAGGCTGGAGTGCAGTGGTGTGATCTTGGCTCACTGTAACCTCCAACTCCCTGGTTCAAGCTATTCTCCTGCCTCAGCCTCCCGAGTAGGTGGGATTACAGGTGCCCACAACCATGCCTGGCTAATTTTTGTATTTTTAGTAGAGACGGGTTTCACCATGTTGGCCACGATGGTCTTGATCTCCTGACCTAGTGATCCCCCCACCTCAGCCTCCCACAGTGCTGGGATTACAGGCGTGAGCCACTGCGCCCGGCCAAGTTATCTCTTAGTAACAGATGAGTTGCCTTGCCCTTGTACAGGTAGTGGAAGACAAAATTCCAAATATTATGAAAAGAATCAGAACAGAGAGACAAAACTATTAATACCAGCTGGTGACTGAGGATGTTTCCTGAGGCATACATCAGACACACCCTGACAATAGCCATAATTAGATGGAAAGTATCATGAAAGAGGTTTAAGGCCCTCATACAGTATATGGAGGGTCAAATCAGATAAACTATTATTATATACTTTACAATTAAGCCATTATTATATTTGTTTTTCATGTCACTATGTTGTATAACAGAAAAAATATAGTATTAGTACAAATTGTTTATAATTTTCGTTTTATTTCTAAATAACTTTTATTAACACATAACTTGTTATATTCCCATATAACTTGTACACACAGTGACTGTGCATTTATAGTCCTGCACTACTGAGAAACTATCCAGGGAACAGGCTAGGAATTTAGGTCATAGTCAAAGCAAGTATGAACTGTGTGGAGATGTCATATAACAGTTCAGAAATAGATCTGGGCATGGAAAGATATGCTATAGATTATAGTTAGGTCACGCAATGCAAAAATTAGGAAGATATGCTTATATGTATGTAGTTAATTTTTGTTGATTTACTTTAAGCCTATGTCCTGAGGCCAGTGGTTCCTCAAGCAAGAAGTGTGTATTCTAGTGGGTTCTCCAAATAATTTCTTGTGGTACTGAGAGAACATGTTAGAATTTCTAATTCTATTTATTTATTTATTTATTTTTAATTTAATTTTATTTTTTTGAGACAGAGTCTCACTCTATCGCCCAGGCTGGGATGCAGTGGCATAACCTTGGCTCACTGCAACCTCCGCCTCCCAGGTTCAAGCAATTCTCCTGCCTCAGCCTCCTGAGTAGCTGGGACTACAGGAGTGTGCCACCACACCTGGCTAATTTTATGTATTTTTAGTAGCGACAGGGTTTCACCATTTTGGCCAGGCTGGTCTCAAACTCCTGACCTCAGATGATCCACCTGCTTTGGCCTCCCAAAGTGCTGGGATTACAGGTGTGAGTCTGGCCTTATTATTATTTTAAAGAATCAATAATAGCATAACTAATATTTAATACATGGATTTCCCAGGAGTGCCCAACTCAGTCTACATATCATATATTATAAATTTTAAATGAAGTATTGGCAGTGCATCATGAAATTTACACAACGCAGAAATTTGCAAAATGAGGTCATCCACTGCTTTGCTGGCTTTCAACATATTTTGACTAACAACAGTTTGATCCAATTAAAATACTTTAGGATATAATATATCCAGTTTTAACTTATCTAACTTCCACTATAAGAAACAGTGGCTTTAAAAAATACCTAAAAATAAATACCAGAGTGATTACAATAATAATAACAAAAACAAAAGCAAAAACTAAGGGGTTGGTAAAGCCTGCACTACTACCATAATTATAAGCCCTGGCAGCCATATTATGAGGTAAAACAAGATGATGTAATCTCTACTCTGCAAAGTTAACAGAGAATTTCAGATAAGAATAAACTATGTCCTGAGACATTATTAACTAAGAATTTTGTGGAACAATCAATCATGTTTAGCAGTCTACATATGAAAGCTGAACATCCAGCCATAAACACTACGTGCTTTTCATTTATATTTAAGATAATGTAACACTCAGTCCAAACTTGGTAATAACAATTTAGAAAACTCTGTTGAAGTTTTACTCTTTTCTTTTTTAAAAAGCTGTTATTTTAGGTTTAGGAATACATGTGCAAGTTTGTTATTTAAGTAAATTAAGTGTCATGGGGGGTTTGGTGTACATATTATTTCATCATCAAGGTAATAAGCATAGCACCTGATAGGCAGTTTTTTTGATCCTCACCCTCCTCCCACCCTCCACCCTCAAGAAGCTCTGGTGCTGTTGTTCTCTTCTTTGTGTTTATGTATACTCGACATTTAGCTTCCCCTTATGAGTGAGAACATGTGGTATTTGGTTTTCTCTTCCTGTGTTAGTTTGCTTAGGATAATGGGCTCCAGCTCCATCCATGTTGCTGTAAAGGACATGATATCATTCATTTTATGGATGCACAGTATTCCATAGTATATATGTACCACATTTTCTTTTTCTAATCTACCATCGCTGGGCATTCAGCTTGATTCCATGTCTCTGCTATTGTGAATAGTGTTTCCATGGTAGAACGACTTATATTCCTTTGGGCATATAATCTATAATGGATTGCTGAGTGGAATAGTAATTCTGTTTCAAGCTCTTCCAGGAATTGTCCAATCACATAGTTCAAAATAATAAGAGCTATCTATGACACAACCACAGCCACCATCATACTGAATGGGTAAAAGCTGGAAGCATTTCCCTTGAAAACTGGCACAAGACAAGGATGTCCTCTCTCCCCACATCTATTCAGCATAGTACTGGAAGTCCTGGCCAGAACAATCAGGCAAGAGAAAGAAATAAAAGTCATCCAAATAGGAAGAAGGGAAGTTATCCCCATTTTTATATAATATGATTCTATACCTAGAAAACCTCATAATCTCTGCCCAAAACCTCCTTTATCTGATAAACAACTTCAGCAAAGTTTCAGAACACAAAATCAATGTACAGAAATCTTTAATGTTCATATACACCAACAACATCCAAGCCGAGACCCAAATCAAGAACACAGTGCCATTCAAAATAGTCACAAAAAGAATAAAATACCCAGGAATTCCACTAACCAGGGGGTGAAAAATCTCTCCGATGAGAATTACAAAACACTGCTCAAATAAATTAGAGATGACACCAACAAATGAAAAACATTTCTTGTTCATGGATAGGAAGAATCAATACTGTTAAAATGAAGTTTCTTTCTTAATGAAAGGCAAAAGCTACATATTACTGGTAAGTGCTTTGTTTTTTGTTCTATGTAAAAATGGATAAAATAAAATCGTATGGCACAAATTAAAATAAATTTGTTATTAAAATAACACTAAAAACATTGCTGGAGATTTTTAAAAATAAGTTTTGCTATAAAGTCATAGAAAATTTAAGAGGTTTAATTCTGGGATATTTTAATAATTAAGAAATGTAATAAAATATAAACTACTTGTAGATGCTGGTGTTACGCTTCCTGCACAGCCTGCAGAACTGTGAGCTAGTTAAACCTCTTTTCTTATAAATTATCCAGTCTCAGGTATTTCTTTATAGCAATACAAGAATGGCCTACCACGAGTGATACCTGTATTTAATATACAGCCTTCACAAAATATAGTACAGACTTCCTAAAAAAAATGGATACTCTGTAAATTTCCTTGTTCATACTACTTCTCCAGAATCTGCTAAGAGATGGTATAGAAATGATAATAAAATGATAGTTTACATTTATTAAAATATGGGTACCAAAATAAGCACATTCACAAGATTAATCAAGATGCCATATTTAGTTTAGATGTCATATATATACATTTAGATTATGATGTCATATATATAAACCAGCATTAGAGTCATATATATATATATATATATGATGCTAACATATGTATAGTGTCATATATATATAACACTAATGGTGGTTTATATATATATATGACATCATAATCTATGGTGATATATATATATATAATGGTGGTTTTATATATATATATTTATATATACATGTGGTTCCTCCTGAAACTTTGTTATTTCCTAATCTTAAATTAAAAAAAATAAAATTAGGCAATTGCAATTACAGTGATATGAAGGATAATGTTTTATCATTTTTAAATATACTACTATTTCTACGTATTGTCAAACAATATATAGTATAATATGAATAATAATATAGTGGAAGTGCCATTCTTTAACATGCATTTTTATCATTAAACATTATTTGCAGGTTACCCATGATAATACATGTATGTCTGGTTTATTGATTTTACCTGAAATATTTATTTTATAATGCTCTACATTTTATTTATCCAGTTATCCATGGATAAATTTCATACATGCTCTCAAATAGCATAATTTTAAATGATGCTACCATAAGCAAACGTTTTACATTTCTCATAGGCATATTTGCAAGAACTTCTTTAGGCTATACATTTAAAATTTTAATTTTGGAATCATAACATATGGATATTTTTAAAGTACTCAAAATTCCTGATTTGCTCTCTAATGTGGCTAACTATATTTAAACGTCCATAAAATGTTTATGCGATGTGAGGCCTTCCAAATGTTCATTAAAATTGAGCATTTTTATTCAATTTGATTTTTGCCAATCTAATGGGTATAAAATAGTATACACATAAACATAAATTGGAAATGAATTTGGAAAGCCCTTGGGTAGTCAAACAACGTTTACTACATTCTCTATTAATTTTCTCTATAAAATTTTGTACACTTCTGGCCGTGCGCGATGGCTCACACCTGTAATTTCAGCATTCTGAGAGGCCGAGGTCTCTCAAGCGCTTGAGGTCAGGAGTTCGAGACTAGCCTGGGCAACATGGTGAAACCCTGTCTCTACTAAAATTACAAAAATTAGCCGGGTGTGGTGGCAAGTGACTGTAATCCCAACTACTCGGGAGGCTGAGGCAGGACAATCGCCTGAACCCAGGAGGCAGAGGTTGCAGTGAGCCAAGATTGTGCCACTGCACTCCAGCCTTCACAACAAAGTGAGACTCTGTCTCAAAAGAAAAGAAAAATGTAAACTTTTGTTAAATGTATTTCTAACTAATGTATAATTTTGATCACATTTTGAATAGTACCTTACTCATCTTTCATAGATTTTAATTGGACTTTGAACATTTTCTCTGCAAATATTGTAAGCTAACCCTTTCTTTGAACTATTATTGAGGTTTAGTTCACATACAGTTCACAAATCTTACTGTATGTATTGATGAATATTTTATGAATATATACATAACCTCGTGGGTTTCATTGATATGAAGCTATGACCAACCTATCTTTTAACTCAGTAAGTCCTCTCACTAAAGACAGATAGTTTTGCCTGCTTTTGAACACAGCAGAAATATATTTGTGTATTATGTGTACTCTTAAAAGTCTAGCTCCTTTCAGTCTCCATCACATCAGTGAGATTTGTTTGTGTTGTTATGTGTAGCAGAATTCATCATTTTTATTGCTTTATAATATTTTATTTTAAAAATAATACTGTACTATCAATTTTTTGTTGCTAAACATTGACCTTATTTTCAATATGCGGCTACTATGAATAAAATTATTAATAACATTTTTCTGTCTTTGTATTCACCTAAGTTTATATTTCTCTTATAATATATTGCTAGAAATTCCATTTCTAGAACAAAGGTTATCCATATAATTACTTTTAGTGAGTTGTGCCAAATTCTAAAGAAATTGTACCAATTTACATTTTGACCAATCTTGTACCAAAGTTCTTACTACTTTATATCCATGGTGTTATTTTTCCCCTAATTACATGGTTTTATGTTATTAATATTTGTTGGTGCTATTAGTATGTATATTTTTACTTACTTTCTAATGTTTGCTAAAGTTTTTTAAAATTGTGTCCTGAGAAGTTTTAATAATAAAGTGGTATTAAACTCGATCAAAAGATTTTTCTGCTTCTGAATTTTTTCAGCTTGATTCTACTAATGTGGTGAATTACACTGATTAATTTTTGAATGTCAAATCGTACTTGCATTTGTGCAATAAAATTCTCTTGGCTGTGATGTGTTATCCTTTATATGGTTTAAGTGTTTTGTATCTATATTCAAAAAGACATTTACCTATAATTTTGTTTTGTTGTAATGTCCTTGAAAGCTGTCTAAATCAATGCTTTGCTGGCCTCATAAATGTGTTGGGAAGAATAACATTCTTTTTAGATATATTTTCTAGATGGGATTGTGTAAGATCAGCATTTTAAAGATAGATATACAATTAATTTATCTGTTCTTTTTCTCTTGTATATGGTTTGATAAGCTGTGATTATCAAGGACTGTATTGAAATTGTCTGTTTTTGAAAAAAAAGTTCATACTATCTCTTATCTTTTAAACATCTAAGGAATCTTTAATAATGTATTTTTTGATATCTGAGTCAGGAATTTGTGCTTACTTTCTTTTTTCTTGTTTTTTGTGTTAATGCATTTACTAATTTTGTTCGTTTTATCAAAGAAACAATGTATAACTTAATTTTTATAGAAAATTATATTTGTTCTCTTATTCCTTAATATTTGCTCGTATCATTATCATTTTTGTCTTTTATTTTGGAGGGATTAATTTACACAAAGATTTTTTTTTAATTTGAGTAGGATACCTTATTGATTTTCAGCCCTTTATCTTTACTACTGAATGCATTTATAGCTCCAAATTGCTTTTTAAGTACTGCATTTAACTTGCGCTAATTTTGATTTATTGCACTGTCATAATTATTCAGCTTAAATATATTCTAATTTTTATGTTATTTCTTCCTTGACTCACAGTATTTTTATGTTATTTCATAATGTCCAAACAGCTTATATTTGCTGCGTTTCATTTTTGGAGTGATTTCTTTGCCAATTCCAATGTGGAGAGATACATTCTGTATGGTTTTAGTTCTTGAAATTCGTTGAAACATGGCTTATGGCCCATTATGCAATCAATTTTGATAAATGTTACTTGTGATCTTGAAAATAATGAGAATTGTGCATGTGTTGCCTTCAGCATTCCCAATGTTTCAATTAGTTTAAGTTTCTCATGTGCATTTTTCAAATCATTGGTACCTCTACTTTTTTATATCTGTTTGTTCTTTGAGGTACTGAGGAAGTTACCTTAAAATCTTCAAAAATTATTGTAGGTGTATTTTTATCTGTAGGTCTATTAGTATTTAGTTAGGCATATAAGCAGTTTGGGTTGATATATCTTCCTATTATATTGATTAACATTATAGTCTATCACTTTCGTCTGTGATAATACTTCTTACTTTAAACATGAATAGTTTTTTGATAAGTATTTGAGCAATATATCATCTCACATTCTTTTTTTTTTTTTTAGTCTTTCTGCAATCTTATGTTAAATATTTGGCTCTTATTTGCAGCACAAAATTTCTCTTCTGTTTCTCTTTCAAGCCCATTAAATTTTGTCTTTAACGTTGAGTATTAAATTTTCATCTTAATGAAATTGCCAAGATACTTGGATTTAAGACCAGCAACTTGCTATTTATTTCCTAATTATTCTACTTGCTATCTTTTTTACTTTCTCCTTTTTGCCTTTATTTTGATTAATTTTTTTTTTCTCATTTGTTTCTTCTTGGGGAACTTGTTAGTCAATATCTTTTTTTTTCTCCTTTAATAGAGAGATTATGCATCCTTATTTTCTCAAAAGATTCCTTAAAATAGTAAAGTTGCGTTTTCCTGGACAATGCCAGACCTCACCACATGTTATCTTTATCACTTCAGATGAATTAAATAGTCGTGTCACATATATTACAATATTTCACGTTTAAAAACCCATAAAACTTTTTTTTTAACAGACAGGATCTCTCTATGTTGCTCAGGCTGCTTTTAAACTCCTGGCCTTAAGCAATCCTACCATCTGGCCTCCCAAGTTGTTGGCATTACAGAAGCTTAAAAACTCATACAACTTTAGTTTACCCTCATATTTGCCCTTTCTGTGAGTGTGTGTGTTTAGCATAATGATGATTTTGCGATTTTTTTTGCCTGGAAGTCCTCAAGTTTTCTTTTCAAATTTTAGTACAGAATTGTTGCCTTTGAATTCTGCAATTTTCGTTTATATTAGAAATATGTCTATTTGCATTCATTTTTAAAGATGGTTTGGCTGGTTGTAAAATTGTATGTTTACAGTTTTTTTAGCACTTTCCATTGACTTCTGGCTTCTACAATTTCTGCTAAGTAGTAAGATTTTTGTCTTATTGTTGCTTCTTTGAAGTTTCTGTCTTTTTCCCCTCATGGGTGACTGGAAAATATTTCAGGTTCAGTAATTTCCCCATTGTGTGTTCTTGGTGTCTTTGTCAAAAATTAGCTAGTCATATATGCATGGGTGAATTTCTAGGTTCTCTGTTTGTTCATTTGGTTGATGTGACTGTTTTATGCCAGTACCATACGGTTTTGAATACTATAGTTTTGTAATATAGTTTGAAATCAGGATTTCAAATCTGTGATTCCAAATCTGTGATTTCTTTAGCTTTATTCTTTCTCAAGATTGTCTTAGCAACTTTCTTCATGGGTCCACACAAATTTTTCTATTTTTTTTCCATTTCTGTGAAAAATGTCATTAGAATTTTGATAGAGATTAAATGAAATCTGTTCATGACCTTAGGTAGTATGAAACTTTTAACAATATTGAGTCTTCTAATCCACAAACAGAGAATATCTTTCCATTTACTGGTGTCTTTTTCAATTCTTTCATCAATATTTTGTAGTTTTCAGTGTACAGATGTTTTACCAAGTCAATTAAGTTTCTTTGTAAGTATTTTATTCTTTTGGTGCTATTGTAAATGGGATCATTTTCTTAATTTCTCTTTGACATAGTGTTTTGTTAGTGTATAGAAACTAAACTGACTTTTTAAAGTTGATTTTGTATCTGCAGCTTTAATTGTTTATTAGTTTTAACAATATTTTGGGTGGAGTCTTTAGGGTTTTCTGAATATAATGTCATCTGTAAACAAAGACTTACTTACTCCTTGATGATTTGGATGCCCTTTTTTTCTTTTTCATATTTCTGCAGAGCAAAGAAAACACACAACAAAATGAAAAGCTAGCCTACTAAATGCGAGAAAGTATTTGCAAACCATATAATTGATTAGGATTTTATATCCAAAATATATAAAGAACTCACAGAATGCAACAGCAAAACAAAGCAAAAACAAACTAACAAAAACAACTGAAAACAATTAAAAAATGGGCAAGGACCTTAATCGACGTTTTCCCAAAGAACACATACAAATGACCAACACATATATTAAAAGAAGCCCAGCATCGCTAATTATCAGGAAAACACAAATCAAAACCATAATGAGATACCACTTCACACCTGTCAGAATAGCCATTATAAAAAAGCTAAAAGACAACACATTTTAGTAAGGATGTGGAACAAAGGGAACATTTGTACACTGATGATGGGAATGTAAATTGGCTTAGCCATTATGAAAAACAATATGGCAGTTCCAAAAGAAAACAAACAAAAACAACAACAACAAAAAAACCCTAAAGATAGAATTACCACATGATCCAGCAATCCCACTTTGAGGTACATGTTTAAAGAAAATGAAACAATATGTCTAGTGTAAGAGATATCTCCCCTTCTATGTTCATTGCAAAATTATTTACACTAGCCAACATGTGGAATAAATCTAAGTGTTCATCAACAGATGAATGGAAAATGAAAACAAGATATTATAGACAATGGAATACTATTCAACTTTTGAAAAGAAGAAAATCCTGTCAACTGCAACAACATAAATGAACCTGGAGGACATTATGTTAAGTTAAATAAGCCAGGCACAGAAAAACAAATACTACAATTTCACTTATATCTGGAATCTAAAAGAAAGTCAAACTCATAGTAACAGAGAGTAGAAGACTGGTTACCAGGGGCTGGGGTAGGGGAAGCAGAGAGATGAATAAGTTCAGGATACTTAATGTAAGGATGTGATTACAGTTAATCATGACATTTTGTATACCTGAAATTTCCTAAAACAGTAGCTATCAAATATCAAGTGTTTTTACCAAACACAAAAAGTAATTAGGTGAGGTGAGGAATGTGCTAGTTTTATTATGGTAATTATTTCACAGTGTATACATATATCAAAACAACGTCATATACCTTGAATATATACAATTTCTATTTGCCAAACATACCTCGATAAAGCTGCAGGGGTGGAAGTCAACTGCTAACCTTCTGGAGCTTTTATGAAGGATGTTTTTGATTTCTGTTTTATTTTCTTTAATAATTATATTATCCTTTGTGGCAAATGCACGTACTTTTTTGTATTGTCTATATATATATATATATATATATATATATATATATATATATATATATTTATGTTCTTAAAATTACTGAGAATAATAGTATCTTATGCTATTTAAAATCCGAATGAGATACTTTCCCTTTTTTAATTACATAAACGTACAGTGTGATTGCTTTTTTCCTTTATCAGCCTCTTCTGGTAGTTTTGTTCTCAAATAACCTGTCTGTGTTGTTGGTGACACCTACTTCTTTGTGTTATTTTCTACACCCTTACTCAATATTTTCTTTCTCATCTATATATTTCTAAGAAATGTATTTTAAAATCTCACTCTATTATTTAGATTTGTCATTTTTGTTTACAGTTATCTCAAATTTTATTTCATAAATCTTGATGTTATTATTTAGGTCATAATTATTATAAATTTATTGTGCATTGTCTTAAGATATGTCCATTTTAGCTTGTTTTCATATTATATTCTAATAGTATTGATATTTCTATTATAATATTACATTCTAATGTTATATTAACTTAAATTTTATTTAATGTTTATACCCTCATTTTGAGCATTTTCAATCTCTGTAATATTATATTTTAGATATGTCCCTAGTAAAAAGCAGATTGATATTTTGAATGTGATTCTCTATTGATGAGAATTTAATATATTTTACTTTATTTGGATATCTGATATGTTTGGAGTTATATAGCCTTATTTCGTCGCTTGTATTTAACAATTTCCCTTAGTTTTGTTACATTTCCTTTCTTTGCCATATTGATTTTACTATATTTTCTTTATTTACATTTATCCTTTCTTTGTTTAAATGCTGCATATTCTATTTCTATTCTTTGGTAAATATTTACATGTACTTTTGACTCACAAATTATCCTTTGCACACATTCCCAGCTTCCCTTGTCATTACAGTGGAGGCATTTGAGGTGGTGGACAATTAGAAGAAGTGATTAGTTTGTTTTCAAGATGAAACGATTAAAAGGCAGTGTACCTCTTTTTCACTGCCGCAGTATCCTTGCAGGACACATTTGCCACAGAAGATAGATTTAAGATGGAAGAAAGCTGCTTGACTCCCATGAGACTTTGTGTAAGTTAGAAATAAATTCTTATTATTAAGCCACTGCTATTGCCAGTTTTGTCCGTAGCAGCACTTAATATAATTGATTCTGATTAAAACAAATAACTTTATATTTTGCCAAGCAAAGCCTAAATGCAGTCATTGTCTTTGCACCTTTTGCTAATACTTAAAGAATCTTGGAGTCTTCCCTAAATGCTCCCTTACCTATTCAACGTTTTTATTACAGTATCAACATTTTATTATTAACATATTATAATCCCTCATATTTGTTATTTTATTCAGTATTTAATACCTAATTATTTATCTTCTTCTATAAGTTTTATAATTTTCCTTGCTCACCATTACTACCTTTGTATCAGTCTTAACTTCTGGCTTTATTTTCCTTCTTGCTAACTAAATCTTTTAGCAGTTCTTTCAGCAATATTCAGTGAATTTCAAACTCTTAATCCTGGATATCTTGAAATACCTTTCTTGAATTGAATGAATCAATATAGGAACAGTATTTATACCAGTTTTGGAATTAGATCTGTTTTTTTATCTTTTCTGTGTTCTACATATTCCCTAGGTTTTAGAGGTTTCTGTATAGGACAGGTTTTTGGGTTCCTTGGCCAGAGTCCCATAGAACTCAATAGATCCAGATCAGCTCTTTGATTGATTTTCAGCTTAGCCTGCTTCATTACTTTGGTATTGCACATATTTCACCCAGCATCCATTCGCAGAATTGTGTATGGATTATGATTTCCAAAGATAAGAGTGTATTCCACTCATGTATCAGGGCAACCTGATGCTTTTATGCCAAATCATCAAGCTAGTGTGTGAGGCTTTTCACACTCTTAGTTTTCCACAAGGGTTATTGTCCCAGGTCCCCTCTGAGAATGAGACCTAAAGCCTTGACTCCTGTTAGAACATCAGCCTTCAAGGTACACATCGCTTCTCCTGTGGGCCACTCCAACTTTTTCTTTTTTGTTTAACGTATCTGAAGATTTCTCTTGCAAGGACTTTTGCTCCAACATTGAAAGATCATTGTTTAGTTTTTTCTTTATATTTTTTGTATAACATTTTTATTTGTTTAAAATAAGAAAAGAGATTCATCATAAGAAAGTTAATATCACTACAATGTCTCTAGTATCATTTCCCAAATTAAAAAAAAAGAGCTGAATAAATTTCTCAAAATTTACTTCCAATATTAGTAGTTTAATTTTCAATTATTTCTTTCATCCCAGGACTCCCCAGTGTCCTGAGGACATTTTTTTTTTTTTTTTTTTTTGAGATGGAGTCTCGCTCTATCACCCATCCTGGAGTGCAGTAGTGCGATCCTGGCTCACTGCAAGCTCCGCTGAGGACATTCTTAATTATTTTTTAATAATGATTCAATAAATTCTTATCCACCCCCTTTCTAACTTTCTGTGTAGAAGCAATGAAGTCAACACTAGGATATTTGCAAATATAGTTATGTTCAAGGCCAAGCTGCCAACACCACATGCAAATTTAGGAATCATTCTTGAGGGACTTGATACCCAAGAATCAGAACCTACAGCACGCATGTTGCCTTACCAGTTTTCTGAAATCCGGTACATTTTCATTTGTTCCATGTTCCTAGACCAATAAAGCAAACTTATCTATGGTCAAACAAGAAGTTCCAAGAGGCTCCAGTTCTTTTTGGTGGAGGATAAAACTAGCTGTGGCTTCTTGGGTCCTCTGTTAATTTTATTTTTATCGCTCAGTAAATATCCTTGAGGACCAGAAAAAGAGTAAGGATTAGGCCATCAAAGCTATTTCTGAGCCATCAGGGTGATCCTGCTATCTTTTTTCTACTAAGTTTCAGCAATACAAAAATAAAAATAAAACAAACGAACAAAAACTGAATTCTAGTTTCCCTGAGCGCTTTGGTTTAACAAGATTCTTTGACTTAAGGATATAGTTCCTGTTTCTGTGCTTGTCCTGAATTTTCAGTTTCTCTATTCCTAACTACAAAATATTGTCTTACATAGTATTCCATCTACCTTCATTTTCATGCTGACAAAGCAAAAATTGTTATTAAAAAGGTAAATATATTTTCTTTATTAGAATATATCTATCTGTCACATATATAACTATGCTAATGACTGTAGAGAAAACATGAAGAAACTGAGTGTAATGATGATCATTCATGTCCTTCTAGCTCTGCAGCTTTAATAAAGAACCAAATAATTCTGATTATTCAACTTCATATTTACTTATAAACTATTCATTTTATACATTGTTTTTTCAAATCCTTCAATTCTGTTATCAGGCTCAGTGATAGTACTAGCAACTGATTTTAGATTTAGAAATCATAGCTCTGAAGAGTGGAAAACTTATTAGCAAATCTTCTTTCCTCTTTACATCAAATCTATACACCTTAAAGTTTGCCCATCACTATATGCCTTCCTTATGTGTTCTTACATTCTTTCCCACAGATAGTTGCTTACAATCCTGTTTTCCTTTCTTTTCCAGACAGAACTACAAACACACCCTAGAAAATAAAGCTCATGAAAGAGGCTGCCAAAATCACTGTCAGAATTCCATATTACTTTGAAAGTTCAATAGCTTTGTTAGTTCCTCTGCTGGAGGCGGTCTGAAATAGGTAGACAAAAATTTTAGTTTGCAATGAACAATGTGTCGTAGTGAGAAGTGAAAAGCCATTTTGTTTTAGGCAAAAGGAAGTTAACTCTGAAATGTTGAAAGACTCACTTACCAGACTCTCAATTTCTAGCAAACAGCATGCTGCAGGTCTACATAAAACACTTAGAATTCAATGTTTCGTCTTCAAACATATGTGCTGCAGTTAAAACCTACTGCTCCTCTCTAGTGTGGAATATTAGTGGGAGAAAAGTAACTTTCCTGAGGCATGAGGAAAGAAATACAGTTGGTAGAAAGGAAGCTTTCACAGGCAGAAAATTCTAACAGTAGTATCAGAAGACATAATTATGATTTGTATTTGGAGCAAACCCCTGCAGCATTCATCCAACTACCTCAATGTACATGTACAGATTAACTTAATTATCATCCTTTGGGATATATGGATTTCATTGGGGTCACATGGCAATAACAATTGACCAACTGTATGGAGACGGCTCAAATGCAGAATTGTATGCTGTTAGGTGTGCTAGTCAAACCCCACTCATATGCAATTTTTTTCTAGAAATGTTTTCACTTCTTCCTGACAGAATTCATAATTTCCTTCACTTATTACCATAATTTTATTATGTTTATTAGAGTTTATATTACTTTATATGTGTGCATCTTTATTATTTATTTTTAAGGGTGTGTTTGTATAAAGTTTTTAAAGTCAATAATCCTGTTACGCTTTAAAAATTAAAAACAGCAGTTCCTGTATTACACCTCCCCTTCCTGTATTTTCATTCTATCAAGCCAACCACTTACGTTTTAGTGGAATGTCCTGGATATATATCTTAATAATTTTAAATAAAATGATCATGTAGATAGTTACTGAATGTCTTTCAAGTATTATCATTGTCTTCCCTAAAAACAAAATTAGAATTGAGTTACCATGTCCTCTAACACATTAGACACAAACGCCTTATATTGTCTTATTCTTGAAGTCTATTATAACTATATTATACTTTGGTTATGACATTAATCTCAGTATTTGTGATGTTTTGACATGTAATTTTTATCAACAATTTAATGATGTAGAATATTTTGATTATATATCACTTCTTATATACAATTTTGTCTTCTCTGGAGTTAATAATTACCTTTTAAAAAAATTGCTTGACTCTCTATGCTCCTCCTGTAGAAAGTATAAATCTCCTCTCAATATATTCAAACATATCAGGTAGTCTACCACTTTCATTGTTTTTGTAGAGATATTTTTCTCATGCCTACTTCCTGATCTAATCTGAACTAGTTGTTCTCTCAACTTGAAGTACAAGTATATTCCTGAAATCTCCTAACACTCTTCTCATGTGGATTACTTTTTCACTTTCTGGTGTCATGATAGTCATTCTGTTTTCTTTCTTCTCCTGCTTTGACTTCTTCTGGTATAGCGCATTCTCCAGGAATTCTTGAAATGCATAGTAATCTTCTTTGAAAATAATATAAAAGTCTTTTTTTTTCTAACTTTATATTTGAATAATCGTGATGGGAATAAATTTCTAGTTGGAAAATCTAAAAACATTATTCCATTGTTTCCTAGCATCCAGTATTATTGCTAAGAAATTCAACGTTGTTCTAATATCTGAACTTTTGCATGTTATTTTTCTCTCTGTAAGCTTTTGGATTCTTCTCTTTGTGCCTAGCATTCTGGTATTTGATGATGATGCATGTATGTGATTTGGATTTTCTCCACTGTGGTGAATACTTGGCAGGGTGTATCTATCAAGGAACTCAGGTCTTTTCAATTTTGAACATTTTAAAATTATTTCTTTGCTGAATATCCCGCCTGCTTCTTTAGCTATTACTTTGTTCTTTATTCTCTTTCTATTCAGTTTACCTCCTGGGCCGATCCTCTAGGCTTCCTATGATTGCTTTATTATTTTTCAACTTGTATGTTTGTATTCTAATTAGGGGAAGCTTTTCTCATTTTAATTGTTCAAGGTTTTTCTTTTCTGTTTTATTTTATGATATCTTATCTTTAATTTCAAAGAGGAATTTTAAAATCTAAATGTTTTTATAGAAATTTGTTTACTTATATATGTACATATCCTCTTTAAATGTATTTATTGCAACGTGTTTATTTTATTTAGGTTGTTTTCTGTTTTCTGAACAGTATATTTCTTCAGTGTATTTTATTTGTTTTATTTTGTGTTGTTCATGTTAGGAAATATCTTCATATGAATAGGCTCTAGAAAATAGGATAAACTCTCTGCATTGTTAACTTAGGATTTTTCCGTAGAGTGAAGGTGGCTGGAACATTATGAGTTTTCCTTTGAACTGGTTAGTTTCTGTAATATTTTTAGAACTAAGTGGCAAAAAGAAATATTTGATGACAATACTGTTTTTATTATGAAAATCCCCTTGAAGTATGCCCAGGGTCCCTACGTCCCTTTTTATTCAAACTTTCCAGGAAATAAATCTCTAGTCTTCTCCATGGGATCTTGGGATCTAACTTCTCCTTCAACTTCCAACAATTTTCTTTGGAGACTCTCAGACTACTGCCTTTTTTTCCATGTATATTTCATACTCCAAATGCCTGAGCCTCTTTGGGATTCCATGATGCATATAGTCTTGCTTACGAGCTTCCTCCACTGCTGGCATAATTTTCCATTTCCTCTGACTTCTCAGTCTGCTACTATTTAGGTACCTGATTTGCAAATTTCAAAATTGTTTTGCTGGCATCTCTTTTCTCATTATATCTGCCCTTGAATATTTTTCCTTTTTATAGTTGTGGTAAAATTATATTTAAAGAAATTATATGCTTTGCCATTAAAACAAGAGCTTTCATACTCATTCTACAGTTTAATAAGTAAAACAGGGATTTTGAGTTAATTAGCTACTAGGTATTTAGCATTTTGGAACCCGGCCTCAAGGAACTTATATTCCATTATGAGTGACACAGCTTATGCCTTTAAAAATACATAACACTGCATGATATATTAATGGGGTAGAAAATCTAAATGCAATTCAGGAAAGACGAAAATCAATATAGGCTAAATATTTAGAGAAGACATAAGAAAATGTGGACCTTGTACTGATTTTTAAGAAATGGAACACATTTGTTTTTTGCTAGATCAAAGAATAAATCAATAATAAAGATAAGGAACACTTATAGAATGCTTACTCATAGCTAGGAAATATACTAAAACTTTGCATAGACTATCTCATCTAATCCTCAAAACAAATAGGTTGGCTAGTTACAATTATTTTCTCCACTTTTAAAAATGAGGAAACTGTGGCTTGGAGAAGTATTTGACTTGCCTAATGATGGGTAGTGGTTCAATAGTTGAACTAGAATTAAACTAAAAAAGTCTGACTTAAAAACCTGTCCCCTTAAACAGTAAGTTATACTGATATTTGTATAGACACAGCTCAAATTTAGCAATGTATTTGAATCATATGTAAGCATTTTCAAGACTTGTTTTAGAAAGTCGAGTACAATTTTTAATTGTGACATGACAAGGAAACGTAGACTGGTCTATGACATATCCTAATTAAAGAAGACAGTTAAATTTCTAATAAAAATTAGTTTACTGAAATTAGGGGATAATCTACAGATTTAAGCATAATGTAAGTAAATCAACAAAGAAATGAGCAGTCATGGGCTGCAAGAACTTAGACCTCTTGTTAATGCAATCAGCAAATCATGAAATGAAAATTTCATGTAAAGTTACTGATATTATCCCAATAAAATGTTTCAGTAGGAATACAACAAATGTAAACAACAATAATAACAGAACACAATAGGACTGAATCTGTAGGTAGATTTTATTTCCAATGAGATGGTTTCCAAATATAAACGCTTAAGATTCTACAAGACACAACTAGTTACAATGTGCCCCTTTGAAATACAGCAACTTAATGTGTTAGAAGCCTGATGCAACAAAGCTAGTCAATAAGAAAGTAATGATGACTGCTTCCACTAATTATGAACAAATGGCTGCCATAGTGCTAACTATTCTTCATTTCTATTGACAAAATAACTTCTAGGCACAATTATGAGGTGCAGCTCTCCACTAGTTTTGCATATCCATTTATTGAATTCTTAACCTGCAATTTTTAAAGTGGATAATAAACTTTCTGTATAAAGAGGGGAAGTTTGGTGGAGTGGAAAGAAGAAAATTAGTCAGAAATCCAGAGCTGAAGTCCCAACTCTGCGACCAACAGTACCTGTGACTATGGGTAGCTGACTTCTCTATCAGCCTCAGTTTTCTTGACCACTAAAGAAGAGGGTTGGATTATATTTCTAAGTTCTTTTCCAAACGAATGTACTATGAGTCCAAAATAGTGTGTCATGTATTTGGATTTCATAGCAATTTACAAATTAATGTGTTCCCTGTAGTGTATGTTCCAGCGCAAATCCCGTGATTTCTATTCTTTCTTTGAGTAATGACGTACTCATCTAAAATTAATTAATTAATTTTAAAATACTGTCAGAAACCAAGTACGTTCAAGAACCAAATGAGAAAAAAAGCATTCCACATAAACTTTGGCTCCTGAGCTCCTTAAAAATTTTCAGTAATGTACATGACCTGCACGTTTAAAGTGATTGCTGCATTTTTTGCCATTAACTTTAATTAGAAAGATGGATTTCTAGCATTTTTGGATATGTGCTGTAAATATTATCATTATTGTTGCTGTTGTTATTGTTATTTTATTATGAACATTTGTTTAGAAAGTTTTTCATTAAACTTATGGAAAACAATCAGTGTCAAATCCATTTGCCCTGCATTTCTCCTGGGCAAATGACCAGCCAAACAAGTTTACTTTCTTTCACAAAAAGCCTGACTTCATCACATTTAACATTTCATAGTGGGATTCACTTTAAAATGATTGTGCTAATACAAGTCCAATCACATCTCCTTTCTGAATTCAAATTCTAAGATAGATGATAGATAGATGGCAAATAGAATGAAGATAAAGATGGGGAGAGAGAGAAAGGCAGAGAGAGAGAAAGAGAGAGAGATGGTCAAGACAAGAGACAGGTAGATAGATATGGTACACAGAGCTCTATGATGAGACTGTTACTGATTCTCAGTTATTTTTTAACCAGATCATGTTGCTTTGCTGCCACTATACCCTTCCTCAGGAGCTATGCATTCTTTTTTGTCCTTTTGTTGATGGGTGCCCACGAATATCGATGAGACTGTGGATAGGACTCTGCGAGGTTGATCAATTTGTCCTTCTTTGGAAGCTTGGGGAAAAAAAGGCAATTGTGCAAAATGGAAAAGAAACTTCGGAACCATTGGTAAATCTAAACTTCAGAACTTTCAACACATCAGTTTTAGACAGAAATACGTTAGGAAGTTAAAGATCTGGAACACAATTCTCAGTAAAGTATCAGTGCTACATATTCTTTGGAACATCTTTTTATTCCTTGAGAGTAGGCATACCTAGGGTTGAAGACATCTGTTATAGTGTATGATTTATTTTGTATCCTAAAAAATTTACTTTGCCTGTTGAGAGGTCAGCAATTAAAAGGGCAAATAAATAAAAATTTATTCAAGAAGCTTTTAATGCATCAACACAGTCTCTTTAGTCTATCAGGCCAGAAGCAGTAGATTCAGTATTTGTCTATGGCAATGCAATTCAGCTGAATTTGGTTAACTACTTGAAGGAAATTGTCAGCATCTCTGCAAAACTAATCTGAAATACCTCATTTCCTTAAAGGTGTTTAATTGGGCTGGTCCCTCAGGGCATATTTTTATCAGACATCTAGTGCTTCATAGCTAATACCCTATCCTGATGTTCTCAAAAATCTGTCTTTCTCATGCTATTCGATCTGTCTTTTATGTCTCACAGCAGCCGCTTAGAAGTCATGAGCACACATAAAACTAGCAGCCACAAATCACACCTACATTTCATTAAAGTCTATATTGATTTAAATTATTATGGAAAGATTTATATTCAGAGCCATGCATGTGAAAGAAAGAGACAGTGATGGGGAGAGAGGGATAGAGATAGATTTCAATGTTTTGTTTTGTTAAGAAAGCTAAAAGCTGTCTTATTAGTTCGTGGCTTCAGAATTTGTACAGTGATTTTTACATCCTTATCTGTTTATCCTGGTATTTATTACCTTACTTCCCATTTTCCTCTGTTTTTCATACATTGATGGATAAAGACACAGAAGAATTATATACATATGATACATGCAAACAGCATTTCAAAAATATTAGTATGCATTTTTAATAAAAACATTTAAACAGAATGTTTTATAATTTATACTTGATATGTGCAGGATAAGTCTGCTTCAGTCTTGAAATCCATTATATAACCATGTTACTTGAATTAAGAATAGAGTAGACATTTGTCAATACAAGAGGAGATTCGAATTGGAAACTTAAAAAATGAGATTAAAAAAATAAATTGAAAACTAAAATACTAATATACAATTTTCAAAGTTCTGTGAAGAGTTGGAGACAGATACTACCTACACACATATGTAGGGAGGTAATGTGGAAGGAAGGGATTATACTACCTATATGCATGTGTATACTGTACCAAAGGCTCTCAATCTAAAAAGCACGTTGATAATGATGGTGAAGATTTTAAGCTATATTTCCTTATAGTGCATATCACAATACCTCATTAGAATTTTTATTACAGATATGTTTTTGGCTGCCAAAATCTGCATCATTTTTTTCTAAATGCAATATATAATTAACTGTTTAATTCAAGATATGAATCACTACCTTTTTACTTATTCATTGATATTATCAATAATTCTGCCACTGAATAATTTTTTTCTAATGACATTTTAGTATGAAAATGAGTTGTTGTTGTTATTGCACTGAAAGAAACTGTTTTAATATTCTGCACGGTTCCTTCATTTTATCAAGAGAAAACCTATCCCATGAATGTAAACTATTCACGAAACTCAGTGTTGTTATGTGATACAGTACTTCAGAATGTTAGAGGCATAAAGGACTGCCTGTCCCTACAATGAATGCCCATGCCTCCTGCAAATGCCATTGCTTCTTATCGATTTCCATCGTCCACTTGGCTCTCAATTGTTTTACCTTTTAGATCAAGCTTCTCTTCTAATGAGCTCCCACACTAGTGTGAATAATAAATATACAAAAATCACATTTTTTAGAATTATAACTAAATTTTGAAAATTAAGTGAGATTTTGTTTGATTCTTTTAAAAATCCAAGCTTTGAAGCACATGTTATATTACAGTCCTATATGGAATAGCTTTTCTTTTATTTTCACTATATCCTTGATATATCCTTATTAATTTGTAGTGGCACATTATTCACATTCATATTTTACTCAGGTAAAGACCTACTTCTATCCATTCAGAAAGGGTAGAAGAAAAATGCTTAGAGCTCTGGAATGGCAGTCCTTTCAATTTGATACTCTAAAACTCCCCCTCTGTCACACTACATCATTTATTATGCCAAGGCTAATAAGTGTATGGCCCAGGATGTGGCCGGCAGCTTGCTGTTGTGATCACACTCCTAGGGTATTCCTTTGTTCTACTCATTTTTGTTCCAGGCACTAAATACTCCTGAAAGTAAACTAGATACAGTTAAAATAGCCACAGAATTCTCTTTGCCTGTAGGCAAGTTCACTGCAGGCAGCAGAAGGTAGTTCTCAAAGGGTACACAGCAGGTTACTTTCCTGGCCTCCTTTTTACTGAGCTGGTAGAGGCAGTCATTTCCTAGGATACAGGTTTTAAGGAGGGAGCTTTCCAACCACTCTTCTCTCTTTGCAATGGTCTCTTTCATTCGGATCTCTGGGGACCAGGATACTTTCCCAGGTCAGCCTGGGTTTACTTGGGTGGGCTTTTAAAATGAGTAGGCAATCTCATTTTATTCCAATTTCAATGGAGATGCTCATATTCCATCTTTATCCCTGCTTGTAAAGCAGCCTTTACTCCCTTCACAGTTCTGCTTGAGAAAGTTACTGACCTCTATTTTGGAGGGTGAAGGAATCTTGGGAGGTAGATCTTCTTTTGTCCTTCATGCCCAGGACAATATTAGTAGCTTCTTTCAGGGCTAAAAAGTGTGATTAACTGAAAGATTAATTTATCATTGTACACAATACTACGTAATGCAAACTTAGTATTTCTTGCCTCCTAAGAGTTAACATACCAGTACGATGTAATCAAATAAACAAACCAACCAACAAATAAAGAAATAAATAGAAGTTCACTGAAAAAAATAGAAAGTATTATGATGTTTCTTATTTTTAATTTATAAAATGTAATCTGAGTACCACGTTAGCACTTTAAAAACATCAAGCAGGTTTATTCCTGTGAGTTTTTTGTGATTATACCAAGATAGTAATTCAGTGCATTTATATTTGTAGTAAGCAATTAAAACAACTGAAATATTTTGCAAATATCAAGTGCTCAGTAAATGCTAATATAGAAGAACTTAATAAATCTTTTGGGAGAATGCTGAATTGACAGATAAGAAATTGCATTTTCTTACTTTACAAGCATTTCTTTTTTCAAACTTAAAATACAATATCTTTGCCTAGAGTACTAAAATATGTACGTAGACCGAGGGGGGGGTAGCAGCAAAAGGGTAGGCACGGTAAAAATCACGATAATCTCAACCCATTTGAGAATAAACTGCTTGATTTTAATATTGCTATAAGTATCAGCAATTCTTTATCAAAATATAAGCTAATTTTATACAGTTGGTTGCAAGTTTACTGAGAAAACAAACCAAATAAATTTGCGTGCTCAATGTCAAGGTAAACAATTCAATTCCTTTTTTTTTTCTTATTGATGGGAAATCAGAAATTTTAAAAAATAACTGGCTATTGCATGTCCTATATTTAAAATCCTGTAAGTTTTAAAAAATAACTGGCTATTGCATTGTCAAGAATGGACTTACACAGTATGAAAAAAAATGACCAACATTGATGTCCTATTTGGTCATTTATGATTTGAAAATCATAAACAAAAAAACCAATTAGGCTGGCTTTTGTTTTTATTCAACGGTAAGATAGACAAGGCAGTTCCAATATCTAATTCCATTTTTACTTCTATTATTCATCATTTAAATGAAATTAATATTTATTGACTACTCATGTTTCCAATTCTGTTAGCAGTATAAAGAGGATAGATAAAAGTTTTAATCTCAGTTTTTATTCATATTATAATTGATTAATTTTTATTATTTAAATCCTCCCCAAATTCTAACTTTTCTAAAAGCAAATTCACCATCTTTGAGTACAGTTGATGTTAGATATCAGACAGCCTAGAAGTACATATGTTCCCTATGTCTGTCTACTTTTTGACAGTGCAGGCAGTTCTGAGTCTCTTATTATCTCTAACTGTATCTCTCCCTAGTATGACAAAGTGCATATAAAATAATTTGATGAGAATTGATAAAAACAGGAAACTATGGAACGTTAGGTTGTAGCCAAATTAATGTTTGTTTGTGTGTGTCATAATTTAGCATGGTTTAGATTAAATTCAGTGACATGTGTTCCACTATCAAAATAGCTGTATCTTTCTGATAAAATAACAAAACAAAAAAATCCACACCAATTTCGTGATTTGTGTGTATGTATGTATGCCTATATACACACACACACATATATAAATATATGTATGTCAGGGTTCTGCAGAGACAGAAAGAGAGAGAGATTTTAAGAACTTGACTCATGACTGTGGAAGCTTTTGACTGCAAAATTTGATGGGGGAGGGTGGCAGATTAAAGATTCGGGAGAGAGTTTCAGTTAAAATCTATAAGCAGTCTGCTAGAGAACAAGGTGCAGATGAAGTATGAAGGCAGACTTCTAGGGAATTCTCTCTTGCTGATGGGAAGTCAGCCTTTTGCTCTATTTAGGCCTTTAGTTGATTGTATAAGGCCCACCCATATTATGGAGGGCAATCTGCTTTACTTGAAGCTTGCCATTGCAAAAGCAAATCTCACCCAAAAACATCCTCACAAAAACATCTAGAATAATATTTGATCAAATATCTGGGTACCCTATCCTAGACAAGTTCATATATAAAATTAACCATTACAGTATATTACCCAGGAACTTGTACTATTAATAGTTTAATGTTTTTTTCTTTAACTTTTTACCACTGTGACTTGTGTTTTTAAAATAATATTTTATATCACTACAATTAAATGTTAATCTAATGCCACATATAAATAAAACTACAAATAATAAAATGCAAATAAAATCTTTTCTATAACCTCCTAAGTTCTGAAACTGAAGTCTTCCTCAGTCCATAAAAAATGAGTCAAAGTAAAAATTTTAGAGAAGTACTAAAGGCATACTAGCACCAAGGTTAGACTTTCTCCTTAAGTCAATTTCATTTTCATTAGAATTTAAACGGAATTAACTAGAGTACTTCACATAATGGTGAAGAGAAGGTATAGGGCGATTCCCCTTTACTGAAAACACATAGGAAACTTGACAACACTGAAAATAATAATGACTTAGAGGCACTAAATATTGAGCAGTGAGACAAAAAATTGAGAAGCATTTGCTGTTTAAAAGCTGCTAAAAGATTGAGAAAATACAGGCTGAATCTATCACCATCTTGCCTGGAGCTGTTTCTGCCCTCTTCTGCTCCACTCCTTGCTTGGTCATGGAAAACTATAGCTTTACAGGCTTTGGGTTTATGGTAAACCCAGCAGCTTTACTGTTGTGGGTGGCAGGCTAGATTTGGAATGGGAACAGGGGATAAGCCCATAACTTTGCCAACTAAAATTGGCAGACTGCAGTTTGAAAGAGATGGAGAAATTTGACAGGTATTCTAGTTCAGGATTGTATTCTGAGTTCTCAAAGGGCCAAAGACAAGGCAGGATTTTAATAGTGAGACCTAGAAGTGACAGATCCACAGAAGAGCTGAAAGAAGTTCTAAACCCATATCTAGATAACTACACATTCTATAGTTGTATATGTATAAACTCATGGGCATGACCTGAAAGAGTCAAGTAAAATCTAAGAGAAATTGATAACTGTCTCAGAATTTCAATGTATTTCTTTATTTATAAACAGCCAGCTCAGCAGAAGGCAAAAGTTTTATATAGACTAGGAGGCAAAAAAAAGAACCTATTGGGTGATAACATTTATAAAAACAATCATGACCTTCAGAAAAATAAAAGACAGTTCAGAATTACTATATTAACTAAAATGTTTAGTTTTAACCAAAAAACTATTAAACATGAAAATAAACAGGAAAATATGAGAATATAGTACCAAATAGCAATGGCAGCCAATAAAAACTAGCTTCAAGTGAGCCCAGATATTGGATTTATCAGACACTGATTTTTAAAGCTACTAATATAGTTATGAAAAAGAAGTAAAAGTTACATCTGAGAAGTACAACAATTGAAATGAAGATAAATAACAGATGGACTCCTGAACAGATTTGAGGCGGCAAAAAAAGAAGCAATGATTAATGGAACACGTAGATGGAAAATTAGAAAGGATGAAAGACTTAACGATTCCATTTAAAAAGTTTTAAAAATAAAATATTTTAAAATAAATTAACAAAAATTGTGTAAGACCTATAAAATGAAAGTTACAAAACATTGCTGATAGAAATTAAAGAAGGCCAGAATGAATAGAGAGATATACTATGCCAAAGGATAGAAGTCTTACAATTATAAATGGCAATGCACCCCAAACTGACCTACACATTTAATGCATTCTTATCAAAAAGTCTCAGCAGATTTTTAAGATGGATCAACTGACCTACATTTTATATGTTAAAAAAGAATCACTACTATGTATTATTTCCATAAAAATAATTTTAGATTTACTGGAGACTTGCAAAGATTATACAGTTACTATATTCCAATCCTCCCACTTCCCAAAAAGTTAGCAACTTGCAAGACAATGGTTTCTTTATCAAATTTCAGAAGTTGACATTGGTTCACTATAATTGCCTAAAGTAAGTACTTTATTCACATTTCTCCAGTTTTTCTACTGATGTTCTTTTTGTCTTTAGTCTTATAGTATCTACACATTTTCCCACTGTTTTTTTTTCTCACTGCCTTCAATAAAGATTGTCATACATTTTAATTTAGTTAGATTTATTTCTCACCATATGCTTTCTATATTCAGTTCCTACATCTTCATTAAAAAATACATACAGTAAAAGTCAATCACATGCATAGAGTAACATATCTACCACCACCATATTATACAGAACAATTTCACCACCCTAGACATTTTTTTAAGCAACCAATTTATAGTCAATTGCTCCTTCTTCCCCTAACCCCTGACAGCAACAGGTCTTTTATTCTGTTCCAAAAATTTAGCTGTTTGCAGAATATCATATAAACACAATCACAAAATATGTAGCCTTTTGGGTCTAAATTATTATCCTTAAAAACACATTTAAGGTTCATTTTTATGTGAATAAATTGTTCATTCCTCTGTATGGATGTACCATAGATTTTTTTAAAATTCCATTGATCTGTTGAAGGATGTATTAGTTGCTTCTAAATTTTGGAGTTCATAAAAAGATGATTTAAACACCTGCAAATAGGTTTTTGTATTAGCATAAGTTAATGGTCCTGAGTAATAGTGAATACTACAATTGCTAGATTATATGGTAAAAGTATGTTTAACCTTATAATAACTACCAAATTGTTTTTCCAAAGTGGCTGTACCATTGTCACAAGCAAAGAAAATGTTCTTGGGACTCTGCCTCCTTAACAGCATTTGATATTGCAATTTCATTTTTCCTAGCCATTGCAGTACTTATTCAGAGATTTTTTCAGAATGGGGTAGATCACCTGAGGTCAAGAGGTTTGAGACCAGCCTGACCAACATGGTGAAACCCCATCTCTACTAAAAATACCAAAAATTAACTGGGCGTAGTGGCGGGTGCCTGTAATCCCAGTCACTCAGAAGCTGAGACAGGAGAATCACTTGAACCTGGGAGGTGGAGGTTGCAGTGAGCCGAGACCGTGCCATTGCACTCCAGCCTGGGCGACAAGAGTGAAACTGTCTCAAAAAAAAAAAAAAAAAAAGAAAGAAAAAAAGATTTGTAATAGATTGGTATAGTTTCTCCAAATTTCTTTTATCTTATTCATAAATGAAATAATGATAAAGATTATTTTTAGACAAGGTATCCAGTTGTTTTTATATTCACTTTTTATTTTCATGACCAAAACTACTTATGCCGCTAAAAAATATTAGAAGATTAAACTGGGTATTACTAATCCTGTTCAAAATGCTAGGATTTAAAAAAAAAAAAACCTATTTTCGATAAATAAAATGGTTAAAATAAACGGACTTTATCAAAATTTGGCCTTTCACATTTGCATTACAACTATGTTTTTCTAACTGGCTTCTGTGGCACATGAAGCAAACTTGGGTTGGGAGGATAAAGGGGAGAAGCCTGGGGAATGAAAGATAAAAAGAATAACCAAGTGTGAGAAAAAAAATACCAAAAAAGTAAATATAGCTACAAAATAGTGATTCTTTTAATCTTAAATGACCTTTTCAATTTGTATTCTGCTTAAAAATTTTCCCAACATTGACCTACAAACTCTCACTTTTGTCCAGAGTACAAATATATATCTGCTGTCTCCCAAGTGACAAGGAGCCAATAGGAATTACTGCCAACTTTCCTTTCTCTGCTATTTCCGAAAAAATACTTTTTTTATCACAGTAGAAGAAAAAAAAAAAAGAAAGCATCTTGCTAACACTTAACTTCCTCTCAAGAAAATCAGATCATTCCAGGAAAAGAACTATAGATTAGTACAGAAAAATGTGGATAATTTGTCTGAAAAAATTTATAGGGAAATTTAGGATTATTATGCTTATTATAAATTTATTTTAAATTTTGCAGTATTTATATGTGTAATTAAATAGTTTCTTTGGGTAAACAGTATTGACTTTAAAATGGTTTTTTAAAGAATCTGACTTTCTCTGTCTCCAAGGCTGTGTCCTAATTCTACACAAAGGCAACCTCTGAATTGAACTACTATAATCTATCTCCAGAACCTTATGCACCTTGCCCTCTTATACTCAAAACACAAGCTTTCCATGAAAAATAAGTTTCATGGATTATTTCAAAGGTGAAATTAGATTCTGGGAATATATATGAAATAAGTATTTGTTTTAATACATATTTAGTTTTTATGACAATATTCTTACTCAACTAATCTACTATAGTACCCAATTACACTCTTGTGGTCATTTCAAAATCACAGAACCTTGGTCCTAATGCTACCAGGAACCAAATTTTAAAACCTAAATAAATGCTACCTCTTGTGGAAATTTCATTGTCATTGTTACCATGACTAAAGAAAGGAAACATACTTGATAAAAAAAATACAATCTAATCCAACCTCTATTTAAAATTTACTGAATGTTATTGATGTTGTTGATGCTCTACAACTACTGTTATCATCTTCATCATTACATGAGGCTCAAATCATTTGACCAATCTTTCCCCAAATTACATTGATTATCATTTTATAAATTTCTATTTATTCAGGAACTCCAGGAAATGAGGGTAGAAATTTTTACAATTTTTGAATTAAACCTGGCTAGGCTCAGTGACTCAGGCTTGTAATCCCAGCACTTTGGGAGGCTAAGTTGGGAGGATCCCTTGAGTCCAAGAGTTTGAGACCAGCCTGGGCAACATAGAGAGATTCTCTCTCTACAATAATAATAATAATAATAATAATAGTTAAATATGGCTATAAATTCTGGCTCTTGATAAATGCATGTACTTTTTATAATTTCTATACTGTTTCTGTTTGACTCAGGCTTATCTGAACATTTTTCAGCCCTTCCCCTTTTTGCATAACTGCAATGCACAGTTGCATACTTTTAAAAAATGTTAAAAGACTACATAGCATAACATTTTTGTGTATGTACTAGAAAATTTGGCATAATTGAGGAGCTTTAGCTTTTAAAAATGCAAGTATTTATAATCACATATTAATCATGCCCTTGTCTATTAACAAGTAGTCCTTAGACTCCCGCACATTTGTTAGACCATTTTCCTTCCTCCACTCTGCCCATTTCTTCAGATGTGGAAGTATAATACTGCAAGCAAGGTAAAATTTCTATCATTCCTTTCAATATATAAAATGACTCTTTGTCTTGATTTCTCCTCTCAAATTTGTTCTGTTTTCTCATCTAAAATTTGATCACAATTTTTACCCATATAAAAACAGCTTCTTCTCAAAGGTAATTCCAATGTCAATTTAAAATACATATAGTAGTATATACATTTTAAACACATACAAAATTTAAATTTTTCTAGATTTTTGGTACAGATAAATTATATATGGGATCAACTCTATTTTCCATTTTTTTTAAACATAGCAACCAAGAATTTAGCAAGCTAGAACATTCTCACTTTCTCCTCTGTATATTTTTGTATTGAGTTCTTTCTTAAAAAAAAATTCTATTAAGATTTAATTGTAATATCTGATGAAATCAATTACCATTACATTTCTAGACAATTTGGTTCATCTTACCAAAATTCAATGCCTCCTATAATATATTTCATCAATTTTGAGAGCTCAATTGGAAGAGTTGAATTATTATTTTCTGCTATACTTCCTCCCATTAATATTTACTGAAACTAATTGAAGATTATATTAATGTAAATTATAAAACTAAGAAGGAAATGTTCCACTTAACAAAGTAATTACAATGTAAAAGCAGTATTTTGATTAATTATGGTGGCTGAATTAAAACTTCTTACACAATAATAAGAAAAAACACATTACTTGTTTTTTCTTATTAAAGTATTATTGATGCCATACAGAAGACTATCTAAAAAGGTTTTGGAACTTGGCTTGAAATTGAAGGGTAGACTAAATATTATCAAGCAACCTATCTCAAAAAGACAACAAGAGAAGAGACAGTTCTCAAAGTTGTCACCTGGACAGCTCTGAGGCTAGGGTTTTTAGAAATAATTTGGCAAGCAGGAGGCTAGGGAATGGGTACTGCTAACTGGTTGGGGAGAAAATCATGGGAATGTCCAAATTATCTCTGCAGGCTTAGTTTCTTGGTGGGGTTCTCAGGACCTTCTTGAGCTGGTTCCTTAGTATAAGACATGAGTCTGGGTGAAGTCAGTGAGTCTCCAGAATACAAGTCTGAAAAATACCTCAAAGACCAATCTTAGGTTTTGAGAGTAGCGATGTAATCTATAGGAGCAATTGGGGAAGTTACAAATCATGTGACCTCGGGAGCAGTAAATGATTATAGAAAGGCAAGCTAAGGAAAAATGACTGGTTATGATTTAACTGTGCCTACATTTTAGCAGAATTAAGATCTTTCACATAATCCTAAATTTGTGGATTTTCATTAGTATTAAAAGAAGACTTTGGTTCCTGAATAAGGGACTAAGTATAGAGGAATAATCTTGGAAAATTAGGTGGATGATGAAACCTAAAATTAATATTAAAAACCACTATTACTCTTGCACCAAGCTAATAGCAAGAAAGAATAGAAAGTTTGAAGAACAGATTTACTGGAACTTAAATTTATTTATCTCTAGTTGCAACTTGGCAGCTGTTTTAAAAGACCAAAGTTAATCATCATGGGCCAGGTGCAGTGGCTCACGCCTGTAATGCCAGCACTTTGGGAGGCCCAGGTGTGCAGATCACGAGGTCAGGAGATCGAGACCCACCTGGCCAAGATGGTGAAACCCCGTCTCTAATAAAAACACAAAAATTAGCACTTTGGGAGGCCGAGGTGGGTGGATCACCTGAGGTCAGGAGTTCAAGACCAGCCTGGCCAACATGGTGAAACCCTGTCTCTACTAAAGATACAAAAAAATTAGCCAGGCATGGTGGCAGGTGCCTATACCCCCAGCTACTCAGGAGGCTGAGGCAGAAGAATCACTTGAAACCAGGAGACGAAGGTTGCAGTGAGCTGAGGTCACACGCCATTGCACTCCAGTCTGGGCAACAAGAGCGAAACTCCCTCTTAGAAAAAAAAAAAAAAAAAAAAAAAAAAAAAAAAACTTAGCCGGGCATGGTGGCGTGCGCCTTCTAGTCCCAGCTACTCAGGAGGCTTAGGCAGGACAATTGCTTGAACCTGGAAAGCAGAGGCTGCAGTGAGCCGTGACTGCGCCACTGCACTCCAGCTTGGGTGATAGAGCAAGTCTCCGTTTAAAAAAAACAAAAAAAACAAAAAAAAACAAAAAAAAAACAGATTATCATCATTCTGTTCTAAGATTTTTTTTCTTTATTTTGCAAATATTCTCTCATTTTGTTGTTGCCATTGTTGTTGTTTCAGCTATCTCACTTGTTTCCAAGAGCTCTCTGATCCTTTCCATAACATCCTATGCTTTCTTTTTTATGTTTGTACTGTAACTGCCCAATGAGTTCACCTTACCCGCTGCCTAAACAGAGCCAATTTATCAAGAGAGGGGAATTTCAATAAAGAGTAATTCACCCAGAGCTGGCTGTGTGGGAGACTGGAGTTTTATTATTACTCAAATTAGCCTCTCCTTTGGGAATCAGAGTTTTTAAGGATAATTTGGTGTTGGAGGAAGGCAAGTGAGTAGAGAGGGATGATTGGTTGGGTCAGAGGTAAAATCAGGAAATTGAAGCTGTCCTCTTCCACTGAGTCAGTTCCTGAGTGGGAGCCACAAGATCAGATGTGCCATTTATCCTTCTGGGTGGGGCCTGCCTGATCTATCAAGTGCAGGATCTGCAAAATATCTTAAGCACTGATCCTAGGAGCAGTTTAAGGAGGGTCAGAATCTTGTAGCCTCCAGCTGCATGACTCCTAAACTATAATTTTTAATCTTGTGGCTAATTTGTTAGTCCTACAAAGGCAGGTTAGTCCCCACGCAAAAAGAAGGTTTGTTTTGGGAAAGGGATGTTACAGTCTTTGTTCTAAACTATAAACTAAGTAATTCCCAGAGTTAGTTCAGCTTACGCCCAGGAATGAACAAGGACAATTTGGAGGTTAGAAGCAACATGGAGTTGCTTAGGTCAGATCTGTTTCACTGTCTCAGTTGTAATTTTGCAATGGTGGTTTCAGTACAAACTATATTCTTATCCTCCTTAGGCTATTAAATACAGTTATCTGTGAAGTTTCTTCTGGGCCTGGCATTATGTTTCTTCATTTGGAATTCTTTTTTACTCTGATTCTTTTATCCTTTTTCATCAAAATTGGATACTCTTATTTATATTTTCTGTTTATTTTCTAACATTTGAATGAAATCTAGGGAGAAAGGGGATGTAAATATATGTGGCTAACCCATGTTTACTTTTTCCAAATATTTCATTTAAAAATTTATTTACTTTCGAATTAAAATCTCAATTCAGCCTTTAAAAACTAAGGATTTGAGTATCTGCCCTACCCATCTTAAGGGGCTAGTATGACTATTATAAGCATATACATAAGCAAGTATTAGTATAGATTTAAGTTAGTATTCACATTAAACTAATCTAGAGATAAACCCTTCATATTTCAGCAGTTGTGACTTAAGCTGCATTCTCAATTTATAAATAAAAGTATAAATTGTATCAGCACGAGATGTTCACGGTTTTTCATAGAAGATGTGTGGCTTACATGATACCCACAGAAACTCTTCCAGTGAAGATATATTACCATGACTGTCCCCAGAGCTTATGAAGTAAATTCCCCCAAAGCCATGCACATAGCAAGGATAAAAATAAAGGTTATCTATGTTTATTACTTGGCTGTCACTATCAAGTCCCGCAGTTTTTCTTTTTCATAATTCATGTTCAAATTTCTCAAAAAAACAAAATTAGAATTCAAATATTGAAAGAGGCATAGACTAATTTAGTAAATTAGTATACTTATACATATTTATATGGATTTATACACACATGCACACACACACACACACACACACACATACACAGAGAGAAAGAGAGATAGACATTCATACACTGTAGGAGCGGAAAAAAAAAATCTTCCTCTACTTACTTAAAGTTCTCCAGTTGGAATGCTGCAAAATAGATGGGCCAAAGACAGATTAACAAAACAAACAGAAGAGTATTAACATGTGCATTGCATGGGTAACTCAGGGGAACCTAGAGATTAGTAAACGACAGGATCTTTTAGAAGTTAAGCTTACATAATGTTTTAGGTTAAAGGAAAGAGGGTTTGGGGCTTCTTGACCAGGGAGGCATGTTATGTGCGGGTGATTAGAAAAAGCTTTGTAAACAAGGGTCGCTTAGTAAGGTTTGTTATGCAGATTTAAGTTAGTACTTTCTCCACTAACAAATTGTGTCTTCCTCTTCCTGGTAGGGAGGAGAGAGACACCTCTACGGATGGACATTTCCTTTTTAAATGTACATTTTCTATACAAGAGGAAAATTTGTACTCTGTTTTTAGAGCTTTTCCTAGTATGCTGGTTGCTAAGGGCCTTTAGCTCAAAATAATTCACATGCTAAAGAGGCATATTTTGGAGTTGACTATTCTGGCTTATATCAGTGCATAATTTGCTAATATTTATGCACATCTATGCTAAGATATCTATTAAGTAAAATTTACCTATTTATATACCTACTTGTCAATATACCTTAGGAGGGAAAAAGAAAGGAAACACATCAATATTTAACAGAGCTGACTTTAAATATTGATTTGATTGGATTCAAGATATGCTACCCCAAAATATGGCACCTTCACATTTGAGAAAACCACAGAAGCAGCAAGTTCTCTCTGACTTTCTCCCTGCCTTTCTTCCCTGAAGCAGGTCATAAAACCCAGGAAGAATTCTCTGACATTCTCCTGAAGGAAGTCATAAGACCTTCATTTGGGAAGTGCCCTGCCTATACCCAAAGGAAAGGAACAGAGAAGAATTTCAACAAACAGGCCTTGCTTGGTTTCCTATCATTTATTATCCTTGAACATGTTTTTTGTTTTTTATCCAATTATATTTCCCCAGTACTACATAGTTCATCATCAAACCTAGCATAAAAAACATACATGTCTACCCATGTCTTCAGGTCTTCATTTTCTTATAAACGTTCATGTGTCATGTAAAACTTACATTAAATAGATACGTATAGTTTTCTCTTGTTAATTTGTCTTTTGCTAAAGGTGCCTCAGCCATAAACCTAAGATGATTAGGAAAGATACTTGGTTTTTCCAACAGGTTATTCTACAGGTGGTTTATATTTTGTACTGTATACTATATATGTATGTGTGTGTGTGTGTGTGTGTGTGTGTCTGTGTGTGTGTATTTCAATTCTTCAAGATTTCTGTAATGATTATATATTTTATATTCATAAAATAATATATAATTTATTTTTAAACTGAAATTCAGCTGATATAGAACTATCATGCCACAGAGATAAAGAGCTCTTATTATTACTGTATTGGGACACAATAAATTCTGAAAGATCTGCTCTTTTAGTTTACTAAATATTGACTTTAGCAAATCAATCACTTGTCTAAAAGATTTTATTTGGTTTGAAGTAAGTAGGAATAACCTTAAAAAGAATGAATCATTCTTCTCTCAGTTTCAGAGTTAATTTTAAGATATGGTAAATGATAAGTAAAGGGACTGCTTTCATTCCTTTTACCAAGAATGCATGGCTCAGAACATGAGAAAAGTTAGAAATAATTTTTGATTGCTCAGTTCTGTGGGACCCAATGTTTTTTAAAAATAAGTAACAATGGATACTGAAAGACTTTTTATTTCCATGGCGCTTTAACATGATTTATTCAAATTTGATATGGGGAGTGGACAAAGATAAACTTTTCACTAGCATTAGTAAAATAAAGAATAATAATTACTTAAGCTTCTAATCTTTAACATTTGTCTATAGAAATTAACTACTTCTTCACATGTGTTGTGAAACAGCCATTGAGCAGTGCTCACATTTCAAACATTTTGCACGTGTATAGGCTTCACATCAGAGCCAAGCATAGTGAATGTATGAATCGAATTGAATAATCCTTGATGAATACTTATTTTGCATAATCCAAAATATAGCTGCTGTTGTTGTTTTCAAGAGGAAAAAACATTTTTTTCTACTTTAAAATCCATTGACTCTAAGAAGAGAAGACACAACAATAAAACAACTTCCAGAACTAAAATCAGAATAATGGCAAATTCATACTTTAGTATTTTACTGTAGCATTTAGTATTTAGTATCTTACCTTAAATAATATTGTAAAAAAAGATTTCTATTAAGTTATTATACTTAAAAGATTAGAATTATACATATTTACTGAAAAGCACTGAGTAAATTTACTTATTTCCACTAGCTGTTAACACCATTATTGTTATTGTTAATTCATTTTGTTTGTTTGCCAAATGTGTCAAGATTTTTTTAATTCTATCCTGAAAACTAAAAATGATTAAATATAATTAATTCTGCCACAGTAAAAGGCAATGAGATGGCATGTAATAAACAATTTTGCTGAGCTTTATTTCCCATTCCTGGGTGATAACCTCTAAATCTTTGGAATTTTTCAAGTGGTAGCAGTATCTTTTGTTACTCATGGTGGATCCCTAGGACCACACCTGATAGTTTATGCTAACAAGCTGACACTGAATGGAGGTTGGTTACCCAGAAAGACCATTCATGGGAATGGAAGGCTGGGGCTTTCAGCTTCATGATATCAGCCTACCTTTCAGAAGGGGAAGGAGGCTGAAAATTAAGTAGAACCACATGGTGAATGATTTAATCATGACTACATATCAAAGCTGCAATAAAATCTCTGGACAAAGAACCTTGGATAGGCTCCCCTGGTTGGCAATTCTCGGCATATTGTTGTAAGTTTATGTGCCAGGAGGGTAATATGACCCTGTGAATTATGGAAGGATCATTTTGGGGATGTTGCCAGACCTTACCTTATGTGTCTATCCCTTTGGCCTGTTTTTATTTGTATCATTTTGTTCTAATAATACTGTGATCATAAGTAGAGTACTTTCCTACATTTTGTCAAATCTGAGGGAATAGTGAAACATCCCGAATCTGTAGCTAGCTTGTGAGAAGTGAGAATGGACTAGAGACATCCAAACTTGTGGGTGCTATCTAAAGTAAGGGCAAGCACGTGTAGGACTATGTCCTTAACTGTGAAGTTTAGTCTAACTCCTTGTAGTTAGTGTTAGAACCTATTGCAAATGGAGATTCAATATCTGTTTGAGATAAGAGAAATTCTCTTCCCAATTCTTCCTTTTGCCAAATTATTATGACTCATCTAAGTTTCCATTTCAATTTTTTGGTATAAGAGGAATGCTTGCTTTCTTTAGCAAATAGGTTAGATTGCCTGATCTGATTTACTAATGGCTACAATCTGTATTCCAGACAAGAGCTAAGATAGAAACTCATGTTTGTCTACTTCTTAATATATTCCATTATCAGGATTTCACTGGATGCCCAGCCTCAAGATGACATCAAAATTACTCTTTCTATAATCTGATATTTTCCATCTTTTTTTCAATTAAAGTCAATGTCAATAGAAAACAAAAATGAAGGGAAGGTAAAATAAACATATTGAAAAAAAAAACAAGAAAGGAAGAAAAATAAATGAGATAAATATTTATGTACGACTAGTATATTGTCTCTGAAAACAACTCTAAAAGTAAGCCCACAAATTATTTGAAACAATGCAACATCACCTGAGGAAAAAGTGTTGCTTTCTAATTATTCTATTTTGCAAAGTATTTGTTTTGATATTTAAATTCAAATGTGAGTAAGTTCAGTCTCAATGCATTATTTCATTCTTTAAAAGTTATTGGTAAATGAAATGTGCAGAAGCTGGGTGGTGGTTGCAATTCACTATATATATATTCATATATATTTATATATATTCAAATATTCATATTTTTATATATTCATATTTTATCTATATCCATATTATAAATTCATATACATATTCATATATAGAGAGAGTACATGGTATCAAATGCAGGCTATGTCAGTTATGTTTGGTCATCACTAAAGCAAAAATCTGAGATATTGTTAACCTTTAAGGCAACAGCGGGGAATTTAAAGAGAACAAAAATATGGTTTAAAAAAACAGTGCTAATTGCATATTAAAGAAATAATGCTTTTTTCTGATAAAATGTAGCTCAACAGAAAAATGTTCTATATAAAAGCAGAAAGAAATTAATGATGCCAAAGTTATTTATATCCATTTGCCTTGAGTAGTAGGTAGCAAAATGGAATTGTCTAAGTCTCTCTTTTTTAAAAAAAGATGATTCTGTGATGTGGCTAAATTATCTGCCATACAAGCTCCTGGATTTCCAGATATTCATGCAAACCATTGTGTAATATGTGTTAAAATATTAATAAAATAAAATTATAGATGAATAAACTATAAATGTTGTATATCATCCTATCACTTAATAAAACTTTAGATGTATTTTATGTGACTGTTGAGTTTGTTCTGTTTTGTCAATTTCTTCATGAATTTAAATATTTTATTCTTCTATTAGTCTGTTCAGGGTGCCATGAAAAAATACCAACAGACTGAGTTGCGTAACCAACAGAAATTTCCTTTCTCACAACTTTGGAAGCTAGCAGTCGCAGATTAACGTGCCATCAGGGTTGGCAACTAGTGAAGGCTCTCTTTCTGGTTTGCATATGGCCACCTTCTTACAATGTCCTCACATGGCCTTTTCTATGTGCGCTAGTGGAGCAAGAAAGGTTTCTGGAATCTCTCCTCTTCTTATAACAACACGAATCATGTTGAATTTGGGTCCCATCTTTATGATCACGTTTTACCTTAATGACCTTTCCAAAGGCCCTATCTCCAAATACCACCACATTAGGGATAAGGGTTTCAACTTACAAAGTCGGAGGGGACAGAATTCAGTCCACAGTAATATTAACAATAAAGTGATTTATTGTCTCATAATCCCAGGATCTATTCAGGAAACTTTTTAATTAAAATTAGATCTGAGAGAGTTGCTTGCTTGTAGATAAATTTGGGAAATAAGACTCTTCAAAAGTCATTTTCTCAATATACAATGCTGAAAATATAGTGACTTATTTTTTTGCATAATATGAACACTTGCATTTCCATTATATCCCTGAAAGAGGGGAACATGAATACTATTTCATATCTAACAGAGAATAAAAATTGCCCATCAATCATATTTTGGTAATTTGACCAATATGACAAATCAAGTAGCAATAAAGCCAGAACCAAGTACCTCACTCCTTATTGTTACTAGAAACAGTCTGCAATTTTGCCACCATTTTTAAAGCAAGATAGAATAGAAGTCAAGGGAATTCAACTAAATTGGAAGAGTTAGGAGGAAAGAAAGATAGTGAATAACTGATCTTACTTATGTTAATGATTTTGACAGTACTATTATCCCTAAAGTAAAAGTCTACTCCTCCCAATTAGAAAATTGTGAGATTTTCTATTTATTTATTTATTTATTTATTTAATTTTTGAGATGGAGTCTCACTCTTGCCCAAGCTGGAGTGCAGTGGCGCGATCTTGGCTCACTGCAACCTCCACCTCCCAGGTTTAAGCAATTCTCCTGTCTCTGCCTCCTGAGCAGCTGGAATTACAGGTATGTGCCACCATGCCCAGCTAATTTTTGTATTTTTAGTAGAGTGAGGTTTCACAATGTTGGCCAGGCTGGTCTCAAACTCCTGACCTCAGGTGATACACCCACCTTGGCCTCCCAAAGTGCTGGGATTACAGGCATGAGCCACTGTGCCCGACTGAAAATTATGAGATTTTCAATAGCCTATTTTCTCAGGTTTATAATGGGGGATAAAGAACATCTTAGTTGAGAAGATAAACTACAAGGAGGGCATAGAACCTAACTTTAATTATTTTTATATAGTGCATGGAAAAATAGATCTAAGTGAACCCAAAGCAGATGTCAGTACTAAGAAGCAGCAAAATAAGGTGCCATTTGAAAATTACCCTTGACTTTATATTACTAGGCAAGTATCTAATTAAGTTCATGTATGTTAAATAGATGAGTTAAAAATCATTCTCATTTTGCATAATAAAATAACAAAGCTAGAGATAGAGTGCTTTGGATTGTATTCTTCCTCATAAGAAACCTTTACACTAACTCAGAAATCAAGCACTTCTATGAAAATCCTTTGTAGAAAGTATAACATGAATGGATTACCATTTATTTTCAGCATAGCCTAGAAATTGAACAGGTGGTAGACTTACTACCACTGTGATTCAGACAGCTGCATTGACTTTCAGCAATTTAAGGCAAAGGATAGTGCAATTTAAAGGAGGTTGTGTCACATACAGGAGTTATTGTACAACACATGAATGGTGATGTATATTTTGTAGGAAATCATGAGCTATGGCCACTAAAGTCAATGTCCTATTATTTGGAAATTCTTCCACAAAAAATGTTTTGCACACCAGTGATGCATTTGGCTTAACTAGTTGGGATGTCAGTCTTTGGACCCTTCAACTTCTGTTGCTTGGTACCAAAGCCCACATTTGGATGAAGTAGACATAATACTTTAAATTTTTCACCTAAGATTTTTTAAATCAGCAACTTGAAGTACTAAGGTGTCTCCAAATATTCATATCCTGATGCCTAGAATCCCAGATTTTCAATTTCTCTACCTTGGTAAAGCAGCTGCTGATCATATAATCTATCTTACTGACACAGGCACACTACCTTGGGAGTAATTCAAACACTGATTAAGAGTAATCAAACACTGATTAAAGCATCAGGACCCTGACTCCTGAAATGTAGTCATTTTATATAGCTAGTTGCTGTAAGCAGAGTGTTTAGTAATCAATGGTTTTCATTGCTGTGAAGGGTAGAAATTATTAAGAATTTTAACTTCTGCTTATAGCATTCTCTTTCATTTAAGTAGTTTTAAGTCTAAAATTAAGTTTTTAAATCTTTTGTGGGAGGAAACCCACTTACTTTGGATGAGATTATTTTATATTCACTCTCCATATATTCTGAAGAAGTTTTTGCACAATGATTTTTAAGACAAGGTCTGCTAACATGCTGCTTTTAATTTATCACATAAAAGTGAAGAACACTTGTTAATAAATCTATAATTAACTGTCTTTAGGTGTCCATGGTCTGAAACATTAGTAGGGTTTTGATTCAAGCTTGGTAATTATTCACTTGTTAGTGTCTTTGTTTCAACCTCTTGATATTGTATAAATTCATCCTTCCACCACACTGATTAACCTACAAAACCCATAATTCCCAGAAAATTGTATTGTTTTTAGTAAAATATACTACAAATACAAATAAGAATGTATTTGGATATATCAAAGAAAATACAAGATATTTTAATTATGTATGCCTTGACTGATTCTCCAAGAGGTTTACAGTTAAATGTACTGCAGGAATTTTAGTGAAAACAACAACTTGTTTGGTTGTCTTAATATTGATAATAGTGTTGGAGGTAATGGGGAATTGAAAACAAAATATAAGAAGGGCTCTGACTGACCTTTTGAACATTTGGTAAGACCAACTGCTTCTGGGTAATGAATTACTTGATTAGAACACTATGTTTTGTAGCAATAAGCCTATGGCTACAGCTATTTTTTTGAAAGTCAACTATTTGTCCAGAAAAAAGATGTGAAGGATATCATTCATTGAGTATATTTTACAGCATTCCCTAGGTCCCCAAGTAGCACTGTTGGCAGAAGTGTCTGTAGGAGAAGAGGCAAATCCATAGCAAGAATTAGTATCTATACGAGTCAGAACAACCTTCTCCTTCCTTCCTGATTGAAAAAGTCTTGATATGACAAGCTGCTTTCAAGTGCTTGGCTAGTCCTTACTAAGAATAGTTATACACTGAGGACTCATAGTATTTTCCTGTTGTTGGTTGGTTGGACACAAAGCAGTGGCAGGAAATAAATTAGCCCCAGTCAGGAGAAGCCCATCTTGCTTAGCTCAAGGAAGAATTCTGAGCCCCTTCTCAGCAATGAGCACTGTCTACAGACAAGATACATGGGACACTGGTATTCTATACTTTATACTCATTGTGAAAGATACATTCATGTGTCTCTTCTTTAAACTTCTTTGGCATATTCTAATCACATTCTTCCCATATTTTGTCTACCTCCCCAAACCATGAGCCACTGCCCCAAATTTAATACAGACTTGCACCTCTGGCCATCTCTTCATCTAAGCAAAGTAGCCAAGATGTAGTAGAAAATATCTACCCAGTTCAAGAATTTCCTTTTACCATCTTTCAGTATCATCTCAAATTGCCATGGAAATAATAAAACAATACCCTTTCATATGTGTCAGAATATCATGCAGATATTTTCTTCCTCAGTGATGTACTTAGAGAGAACTCAGTAGGAGACCATAGGTGTGGATGAAGATAAATCAATGTGTATGTGTGTGTGTGCACACTGGAAGTGAGGTAAGGCATTTAAAATCTGATCTTTAATTCAATTTCAAGTAAGCAATACAGTATTATTAACTACAGTGATCATGCTGTCCATTAGACCTCTAGAACTTATTCATCTTATAACTGTAAGTTTTGTACCCTTGACCAGCATCCCCCCATCTTCCCCATTCCCCTAGCTCCTGGCAACCACTGTTCTCCTCTCTGATCATATGCTTTAGATTCTACACACAAGTGAGATCATACAGTATTTGTATTTCTGTGTCTGGCTTATTTCAATTAGCAAAATATCTTCCAGGTTCATCCAAGTTCTCGCAAATAGCAGGATTTCCTTGTTGTTGTTGTTTTATGGCTGAATAACATTCAGCCGCGTGTGTGTGTGTGTGTATTTGTGTGCATTTTTATATGTATACTACTTATTCTATTCATTCGGCCATCAACAGACACTCAGGTTGCTTTCATGTCTTAGCTATTTTTAAAATTCTGCAATAAACCTGGATGCATAGCTCTCTCTTCAAGATACTGATTTTATTTCCTTTAGACATATACCCAGAAGTGGAATTGCTGGATCATATGGTAGTTCTATTTTTAACATTTGGGGAAACTCCATACTCTTTTCCACAATAGCTATCCCAAAGTACATTCCCACCAACAGTGTACAAGAGTTCTCTTTTCTTCAAACCCTCATGAATACTTGTTATTTTTTGACTTTTTGATAATAGTCATCTTAGCAGATATGAAGAGATATCTCCTTGTGGCTTTAATTTGCATTTCTCTGATGATTCATATTGTTGAGAATCTTTTCATACATTCACTAGCAATTGTCATGTCTTCTCTGGAAAAATGTCTATTCAATGTAAGTCTCTTATTGTTAAGTGAGTGAGTTCTTAATATATTTTGGATATTAACTCCTTATCAGCTATATGTTTTGCAAATATTTTCTCCCATTTCATGTTTTGCATTTTCTTTTTGTGAATTGTATCCCTTGCTGTGCAGAAGCTTTTTAGTTTGGTATACTTCCACTTGTTTATTTTGGTTTTTATTACCTATGCTTTTTGTGTGATATTCAAAATAATCATTGCCAAGACTAGTGTCAAGGAGATTTTTTTTTTTTTTTTACATTTTCTTCTAGGAGTTTCACAGTTTCAGGTCATATGCTCATGTCAATAGATGCAGAGAAAGTATTGAAAAAATTCAACATCCTTTCATAATAAAAACCCAACAAATTAGATATAGAGAGAATGTATCTGAACACAATAAAGACCACATATCACAAGTTTACAGTTACGATCATACTCAACTGTGAAAAATTGAAATATTTTCCTCTACAGTCAGGGACAAGATGAGGGTAAGCACTCTCTCACTTCTAGCAAGATGGTACTGCTGGAGGTCTGAGACAATGCACACAAGTGAATGAATAACAATAGAAAAGTGAAAAAAAATCAAAATTTGTAAATAGGCAAGTGATTAGAATCATTCAAATAGATGTAAGCAATGTATGTATGCCTTAATGAGATAATAGGAAATTTTCCTGGAAAGCCAATAAGTAGCCAATCAAAATGTAGGCAAAAAAGACCATTATGGGGATTGTGTGAGAGGGAGGGAATCAGGCTTCCTGATAAGCAGTATCCAGTAGCCTTGTTGTTCCCAACAGAAAATCATCCAAAAGTATTGAACTTAAAGAGGTCAGAATTTTGGTTCAAATGAAGATTTGGAAAAGCAGAAGAAGATCGCTATGAAAAGAAATACATAAATTCTCTATCTTTAAAATTTGTAATAAAGAAATACCTTTTATATAATATATAAATATATTGACTTATGAGTAAAGATGAACATAAAACCTGCAGCTAATTTAGAACTTTGTTTCTATTGATCTCTGAGATGTGTTTCTGTATAGGGTTGGGAAGGGGAAGCGATGCATCTTATAATGTTTTAATTAGATAGCATCTGTTTGAATTAAGTTTTTCACGGTACATACTACTTGTAGGTGAACACGGCTGTCTCTCCCCATGAAGAAACATCTGTGATGATATTGCTATTGTCTATCCTATGAAATACCTATAAAGAGACAAAATTATGTATAAAGATCATTTCAACACAATGTAAAGGTGATGAGAGAGTTTAAAAAATACAGCAGTAACACTAAATTCCAACCTGTTCTCTGGATGGGGATTGCTTATGAAACATCATCAACCTCAGATGAGGTTTACCTGACAAAATGTTACATATAAAAGTTAAATCTAATTTGTTAAACTCTCTTCATGAGAGAGTAACAAAATTCATGAGATTAAATATTCTACCCACATATCTATTAGCTACTTACTCTTCACTATTAGGAAGCAACACCTCCTTTAATCTCCCTGTGGTTGTATCTTGTAGCAAGGTTTCTCTTATAGGTAGAAAGTGGTTTATATGGTATAAAACTAAAATGAGGTACTCTATTCACCAATATATGTCCCAAAATAGAACTTTGTTTCTGTTAAGTTCTGAGATATATGACAAAATGCTAAACTCAAAATTCATAACTATTTGGATTATATTCTCATATATTTGGTTTTTCTCATCAGTCTTTAAAATTATCAGAATTTTAGAACTAAAATACATCATAAAAGTCTTTAAAACATATATATATGTACTCAGGTATGTCACAATACCATGAAGTGGGTTTGAATATCACATGTAACTTTTGCTCCTTTCAAAGTATGGAAGATAGCTTTCATTTAGCTAAAAATAAACAGTTTATTTAAAGTTTATTACAAGTTGGTTAATGGGACCAATGAAGGAAAATTTGCACACGTAGATTATGCTATCAGGTTTTCTTTTTCACTAGTTCTTCAACATTCTTGGTGCCATTTTTGATACATATGTTTCATTGAAGGTTCTACTGAAACGTGATAAATACTACTAATAAAAAGAATTACTAATATCTTAGTACATTACACTGATTCTAGCCCTTAAGAGAAAAAAAACACATGACATAGAAACTATACAAGCTTAAATAACATTATTTTCTTCTGCATTTCTCAAAATTGGTAAAATAAGTTTTGTTTACCAAAATCCCTCTGAGATAGCATAAAAACAATTACATGGAAAACATTTTTGTCCAGGAAGATTATAATCAATCAATGACAGCAGCATAACTTTATAAAAATAGAAATGAGCTAGTTCTCAGCAGAACTGGTTTTGGCCATTAAACTTAACTCATGTAACCTTTCTGGGTTTCAGTTTTCTCATATGTAAATAGGCACAGTTACATTCACTTTCATTTCCCTTCTTGAGTGTGCTGAGAATAAAATGATTAGCATAACACCTATAAAAGTTTTTGAGAAAATTCAAAATTTGATGATAAAAGTTAAGATAATGCTGCACAGTCAAGACATGATGGAAATGTCAACAGAGGCTGAGCCTTCTTTCCATTCAATGAAGAGGACCACAGAAAGATGGTCATACCGAGGATGCACAACAGGAAATTTTGATGAAAAGCCCTTAAAAATACCCATTCTCCAAGACTACTAATATATTTTGTATGGGTAATGAAACCTGGCCAACAGAATCAGAGGTAATTAATCATTGTGTGTCCTTACTGTAAATGAAGAACAGAATGAGCAATTATAGCACTGTGTGGAGTAATTACTAAGAATATTAAAGAGGTAAGAATGGCTTGGCCTTACAAAAATTCAGTCAACAAATCTGAAGAAAAATATTCCCTCAATGCCCATTTACAATCATTTGACTAAAAGCAAGGAGATAAATACCTATTTATTGTGATTTGGAAGACAAGGAAAAGTCACAAAACAACTTTGATCATACAGTAAATAAAATTTTAATTATAATATAACTTCTTAATGATCTTTTATAAAGGAGTCATCTTTAATCCTCAAGGTATGCAAATATTTTAAAAGATTTCTATGAAAGTATAGCCAGCTGATCTATAAATATAGACTTTCTTTACATAAAAGTAAAAAGTGCAATTGCTATATTTTCCAGCTTATATTGAAGAGTTGCTCATTGAGGACTTCCTCTGACATTTCTACAAAAAACATATATATTTAACCTTTTTCTAACATAACTGTTATTTGACTCTTTTCTGCAACAGAATAGCAATATCTGGGGGATATTCATAATTATTAAATTTGATGGTTGGTACATACATGAAACATGTATATTTAATGAATTACATGTTGCCAAATTTTGATAAGCGAATTACATTAGGTATTTCGCTCAATTCAATGCATATTTTCTGAGTAGAAAACTGATGCAAAAACACTTAGAAAGGTACTAGATACAAAAATAAAAAGGCCAATCTCTGCCCTCAGAAGACTTTTCAAGAAGTATAATGCATATATACATACAAAGACTACAATAAAATAATGACAGGATAAAGTAACATTAGTAAAAACAGTTAGAGATTTAACCTCTATTGTGGGAGGAAGAGTTCCCCTAAATATGTGGTATTTGTAGTTGGATAAATAATAGCAATAACTTAGATTTTATTGGTAACAAAAAGACATCTGAAATTGACATGGACACATACACAATATTTGAGAATCAACAAGTAGTTCTATTTTGTTGCCTAAAAGAATTTGGGTGACATCGGAATAAAAAAGAGAAAAGTTTACTTTTAGAACACTAGGTGGAGAAAAGTCTAGAGGCATAGCTTTTAGCTAGGAAGTTATCACAGTGGATTTGTTTAAAGATCCTGAGAATTTCTTGTAAGGAGATGGTGTACAGAAATGGGGTGCTGACAATTTACTGACAATTTATTAACTGTAAGGTATAAAGAAAGACAATGCCTGCAAAACTGATGCCAATGTTTTCAGCCAGGTGTCAGAAACAGAAATGGGAAACAGATTTGAGATTGAAAAATGGTGGGAGTATACTGAAATTTAGCTTCCAGCAAGATAGCCATCTTTTGATAATTTCATGTATGTATGTATTAAAATATTCCAAAATCTATTCCTCCATAAAAGCAAAAAATAAACTGGAAATCCTGCTTAAGTCAAAATTTTTGGAACTCTAGAAACTAAAATTTACAGCAGACATGGGAATGCATAACCAAAAAAAACCTCAATAAATAAATTAATCCATAAATGAATAATGAAAATCTCGGTAAGAAAAAAGAGTTTTGTGACATTTAACTTACCCTGTTCCCACTCCCACTCTCAGTTCGTTGGTTACCTTGAAGATAACAATCATATTCCTCGTTCAGGTATTGGTGCACAAAGTTGCAGAATGAAACTTACCTGCCAAGAATTGTGCTAGTGTGCTTTGATCTGTGTGTTGGCTCAACAGAGGATGTCCAAAGGATTGGTCTTTGATCTACCTCAGAACAGTCTCAGTTGAGGCAGCTGCTCAGGACGCATTTGTTTAAAGCCTTTAAGAGGCAAATTTATTAGCCATTATTGCCTGGGACAGTGGCTAATTGTGGGGAAAAACAATAGACTAAACAAAAATCTTGAAGGAAAGCTGGGGAATACAATTCCTTGGGGATTAGGGCTTTGAAAATCTCCAAAACGTTTATGGGACTCTAGAAAGCCATGAACACATAAAGATACGCACATGCTTAGGAAAGGTCTGAAAATGCCCTAAGCTCTTATGTCTGGGTGGCATTTAAGCTTTGTGGAAATCAGAAGTAAAGGCTCAGACAGACTTGTAAACTACCTAGCAGTGTCTCAAAGGCATGTGTGACCACTCAAAAAGCCTATGTTCAGAAATTGGAACATGTTTTTCTCAGTCCCAGACACTTAAGAAAACTTCTGGCCAACCCTAGCTAACAACAGAGCTAATGAAACAGATTCTTCAACAGCCACACATATCAAAAAATATATATACTACAAAATAAGTTCAATAAAGTTACTAAAAAAGGCACATCTACAAGAAGCAACAACTACAAACCCTGAAAGAAAGATAATGTTTTCCAAAAATTAGTACATTATAATATACATAATATTCTATTTTCAACAAAATGTATAAGAAACACACAAAAAGTAGTATGCTTTCTACATGGGAAAATTCAAAAACTATAAAAACCCTTCCTGAGAAAGATCAGATACTGCAGTTACTAAATTAAGACTTTAAACCAACTATTTTAAAAATGCTCAAAAGATGTGCAAAAAACCCAAAATTACCATGAGGAAACTTTCTTACCAAGTAAGGAAAATGAATAAAGATACATAATTTATAAAAATGAATGAAACAAATTCTGGAGACAAAAACTACAAAACTGAAATGTAAAAGGAAAAACACTAGAGAGTTTCACTGGCCAATCTGAGTAGGCGGAAGAAAGAATAAAGCAAACCTAAAGATAGGTTAATTGAGATTATTTGATCTGAGAATATAAATAAAAAAATGAGACAAAATAAATAGACACTAAGAGTCCTGGGACACTATGATGTGTTACCAATATCTACATAATAGAGTTCCAGCAGAAAAGAAGAGGAAAAGGGGGACAGAAAGAGTATTTGAATAAATAATAGCTGACAGCTTCCTAAATTTAATGAAAAACATTAATCTATACAGCTGAAAAGCACAATGAATTCCAAATAGAATAAACTCAAAGAGATCCACACCAGACATGTTATAATCAAACTTTTGGAGGACAAAGAAAAAAAGAAAATCTTAGAAGCATTGAGAGAGAATCAACTTGCCACATACAAGAGATTCTCAATGATAATAATAACTAATTTGTATCAGAAATTATAGAAGCTAGCAAGTAGGGGAATTATATTTAAATTGCTAAAGACAAAACTCTTAACCAAGAATTCTGTATTTGGTAAACCTCTTCTTGCAAAATGAAGGAGGCATTACAGATAAATAAAAATTCAGATAGTTTGTCATTAGTAGACCTTTCCTACCAGAAATGTTAAAGAATGTCCTTTAGGCTGAAATAAAAGAAAATTAATAATCTGAATACATACAAAGAAAAGAACACCAGTAAGGGCAATTTCATAAGCAGATATGCATGTCAGGATTGATATATCTTTTGTTTGAAACTCCTCTTATTTCCTTATGACTTAAAAGGCAAGTACAAAAAACAGTATTATAAATCTGTGTAGATAAAAACACAGTGTTTAAAGATAATATTTGTGACAACAACATATTGAGGGGAGAGGGCTATATTTTCATATACTAAAGAAACTAAATTGTTACTAATGTGAAATGAATTATTATAAATTAAGATGTTAATTATAATTCTAAAAGCAAATACTAAGAAAATTACTCAAATATGTATAGTAAAAGAAATGCTAAGGCAATAAACATGGCACACTAGAAAATATCTATTTGACACAAAAGAAGTCAGTAATAGAGAATCTGAGGAATGACAAAGAATATAAGACATATAGAAAACAAATTACTAAATGGTAGAAGTCATTTGTTTCCAGTAACTATATTAAACAATAATACATTATACAATTAAAAAGAAGAGATTGAAAGGAAGGAACACACATACACATACACACACACACACACACACACACACACACACACACACCAACCTAATCCAACTATATGCCATCAACAAGAGACTCATTTCAGATTCAAAGATGCAAATAAGTTGAAAGTAAAAGTATAAAAAAAGATATTCCATGTAAACAGTAACACAAAACAATTTGGAAAGGCTATGCTAATGTCTAGCAATATAAACCTTAAGACAAAACTGATGACAGACAAAAGAAGACAGTAAATAATAATAAAAGTGTGTATCCATTAAGACAGTAAAAAATTATAGGAATATATGCACATTTCAATGGAGCCCCAAAATACATGAAACAAAACGTAACTGAATTGAATGGAGAAATATATATTTAAATAAAGATTGTTGAAGACTTTAACATCCCACTTTTATTAGTGAATAAAACAACAAGATAAATCACCAAGGAAATAGAAAGCATAAAAACACTATACACCAATTAGATCTAATAGACATCTATAGAACTATCCACCCAACAATAGATTACATGGTTTTCTTTAGTGCATGTGGCATATTCTTCAGAATGGACCATATTAGGCCATTAAACAAGCCTCAATAAATTAAAACTTGAAGTCATACAAAGCATATTCTTTGATCACGATGGAATAAATTTAGAATAATAAAAGAAAATTTGGAATATTTGCTGCTATACGGAAATTAAACAACATAATATTAAATAATTAGTAGCTCAAAACAATCTGTTGATTGTTTCTTTAGCTGTGAAGATGCTTTTCCATGTAATTTCCTTTTATTTATTTTTGTTTTTGTTGCATTTGCTCTTGGGGTCTTAGTCATAACTTCTTTGCCTAGGTCAATGTCTAGAAGAGTTTTTCCCAGGTTTTCTTCTAGAATGTTTATGGTTTCAGGTCTTAGATTTAAGTCTTTAATCCATCTTCAGTTTATTTTTGTATATAGTGAGAGACAGGGATTTAGTTTCATTCTTTCTGCATGTGGTTATCCAATTTTCCCAGCACCATTTATTGAACAGGGTGTCCTTTCATGAATATGTGTTTTTGTATGCTTTGTCAAAGATCAGTTGACTGTAAGTATTTTACTCTATTTCTGCTATCTCTATCCTGTTCCATTGGTCTATGTATCTACTTTTACACCAGTATTATGCTGTTTTGGTTTCTATAGATTTGTTGTATAGGTTGAAGTTGAGTAATGTGATACCTTCAGATTTGTTCTTTTTGCTTAGAATATTTTGGCTATTCTGACTCTTTCTTGGTTCTATATGAATTTTGGATTGTCTTTTCTAATTCTTTGAAAACTGATGCTGGTATTTTGATAGCAATTGTATTAAATATGTCGATTGTTTCACGTACTGTGGTTATTTCAATGATATTGGTTCTTCTAATACATGAGCACAGGATACATTATCATTCATTTGTGTCATCTATGATTTCTTTCAGCAGTGTTTTGTAGTTCTTGTAGAGATTTTCACCTCTTTAGTTAAGTATGTTCCTAGGTATTTTATTTTATTTTATATGCAGCTAATGTAAAAGAGACTGAGTTCTTTGATTCTTAGCTTGGTCGTTATTGTTGTATAGCAGTTATACTAATTTCTACAAGACATTAAATGAAGAATTGGTACTAGTCCTACTTAAACTATACCAAAAGATTGAGAAAGAAATGAAATAACCAAAAAAGAAAGAAAAAAAAACAACTATAGACCAACATTCCTAATGAATATAGATGCAAAAATCCTCAACAAAATAGTAGCAAACCAAATCCAAAAAGATATCGAAAAGATAATCCACCATGATTATGTGCATTTCATCCCAGGGATGCAAGGGTGGTTCAAAATATGCAAGTCAATAAATGTGATTCATCACATAAACAGAATTAAAAACAAAAACCATATGATCATCTTAATAGACATAAATAAGCCTTCAATAATATCCAGCACCCCTTTATAATAAAAACTCTCAACAAACCAAGCACAGAAAGAATATACATTAAAATAATAAAAGTCATACATGACAAACCTACAGCCAACATCATATTGAATGGGGAAAAGTTGAAAGCGTTACCCCTAAGAACTGGAAAAAGACAAAGGAGGCCCACTTTCACCCCTTGTATTCCACCTAGTATTGGATGTCCTAGCCAGAAAAATCAGGCAAGAGAAAGAAATAAAGGACAACCAAATTGGAAAAAGGGAAGTCAAACTATCTCTGTTTGCCAATGATATAATGATATATATAGAAAATCCTAAAGACTTCTCTAACGGAATCCTATATTTGATAAATGAATTCAGTCAAGCCTCAGGTTATAAAACCAATGTTTGTTTTCAGTTGAGTTTAGATCAGTTGTTCTCTCATGTAAGGGGTAGAATGATTTTCATTGAATCTCAGACCTTAAGTATGGAATTTTGTAATCTCTGGGTGATTTTTTTTTCCTCTTACCTAGAGAGTTCACCTATATCTTTGCTGGAAAGATGGAACCACTACTAATCACCTTAATCTAATTTGGCATCATCATGACTAAAAGTTAGATTACATTTTGAATTAAGTCTCTACTCTTTGGTTCACCATGGCTCTAGAGCATAGACTTCAAGAGGTTCCAGCTGCGAACCTGGGTTGGTCTGTAACTCTGATCTGCATCCAAGCTGCACTGTGATTCAAGGGCCTTGAGTATCTATGGTCTTTGGTCTTAACAATGGCTACAAGATCTCTTTTTCCATGTTTCTTAGTATTAGACCATTTCTCAAGTGTTGCTGAGATTCTCAACTTTTTACTCTGTTCTCAGAATTGGAAAATATTATGAGGCAAATAGCTGCTGCAAAATGTCCTACCAAATTCCAGCACAACTCCCATTTTCTTGAAATTGTATTTCCTCAAGTCCTAGTTGCCTTACAAGCTCTCTGTTACCTTCAAGTACAAAGGAGATTTTAATTTTCTCTCACAGAAAAGTCCACATGTCGCTGCAAGTTTATTGTCCTTTGGCTATGATTAAAACACTGATATTAATAGCATATGCTTCTTATGTATGTTTGCTTATAATACTATTGCATATATGCAACTCTTACTATTTCAAATAAATTATTTTTCCTAAGGCAGCCTTCCTACATAATCCATTTATATATCAGCCTAACCTAAACCTGAGACAATAGTCGGGACTTAATCGTTTATAGCTTGATTCACTGATGTACAAGAACTGACACCTGTGTTGTTGAATTTGCTCTTCTTGCATTCTTCTTCGTATAATAACTTCAGGGAAGTTGGTATAACTTACGATAGGGAGATAATACCTTATAGATGTAGAAAAATAAAACCTAGAGCAAAGATAATATGCTCTATACATTGTAATTCCTAGAGCAAAATATAAGCATAATAAAATGAAGAAAACATTTGACTCCTATGACTCTGATTTTTCTGAAAATAGCTTCAATATTACTCCTCATAACTTGTTAGTATTGCCAATTTTAAAATAACTAAGTATTTATTAGCCAGCCCAGGCTGCAAAAACAAAAGACTGTGGACTGGGTAGCTTAAAAAACAGAAATTTGTTTTCTCTCAATTACAGATGCTAGAAGGTAAAGATCAAGGCTCTGACCAATTCAGTTTCTGGCAAGGGTATTTTTCCTGGCTTACAGACAGCCTACTTTTTACTGTGTTCTCACATGGCCTTTCCTTGGTGCATGTGCATGAAAAGAAAGAGAAAGGGCTCTCTGGTATCTCTTCTTACAAAAATACTAATCCTATCAGATCAGGGCCCCTCCCTTATGACTTCATTTAACCTTAATTACTTCCTAGAGGACCCATCTTTAAATATAGCATCACCATCGGTTAGGGTTCAACATATAAATTTTGAGGAAACACCAACATTAAGTCCATAACAAAGTATATAATTAGAATGCTAATTTGACTTCATTTTGTTCAAGCAGATTTTTATTTAGAATTTAAATGAGAAAAGTCAAAAGTAAAGGGAATTCCTATAAATGTACAAATGAATACATCTTAGGGCTCTATATTAATTATGTGGTGATCTTCTAAGACATCAGAGATCTAAGCCAGGGCAGAATTCAAAATTCTTCTTTGTATTTTATGCACGCTTATGCTTTCTAATCAAGAATTATTTCTAGTTAAAAGTCTTCAGTTTCTCCAATAAACATCATAGAAGTTTCTTTAAATATAACACCACTTTCCACAAAGAAAAATGTGTAATAACCTTACAATATTTATTTCATACCAAAAAGGCAAAGAGTCTATATAATTTACCACCACAATTATCTGAAATAAGTTATTATTGCTATGATTTTATAGTTAAGAAGCACAATATTTGGAGAGGTTCAAGTGACTTGCCAAGGGAGTTATAACTAATAATTTGTTGGGGAGGGGTTTTAAGTCTATAAGATATACTCCACTCTGATGATAGTTTCTTTTGCTGTGCACAAGCTCTTTAATTAGATCCCATTTGTCAATTTTGGCTTTTGTTGACATTGCTTTTGGTGTTTTAGTCATGAAGTCTTTGCCTGTGCCTATGTCCTGAATGGTATTGCCTAGGTTTTGTTCTAGGGTTTTTAAAGTTTTAGGTCTTATGTTTAAGTATGTAATCCATCTTGAGTTAATTTTTGTATAAGGTGTAAGGAAGGGGTCCAGTTTCAGTTTTCTGCATATGGCTAGCCAGTTTTCCCAATGGCATTTTTGCAATCTATCTATCTGACAAAGGGCTAATATCCAGAACCTACAAGGAACATAAACAAATGTACAAGAAAAAAACAACCCTATCAAAAAGTGGGCAAAGGATATGAACAGACACTTCTCAAAAGAAGACATTTATGTGGCCAAGAAACATATGACAAAAAGCTCATCATCACTGGTCATTAGAGAAATACAAATCAAAACCACAATGAGATACCATCTCATGCCAGTTAGAATGGCAATCACTAAAAAGTCAGGAAACAACAGATGCTGGAGAGGATGGGGAGAAATAGCAACACTTTTACACTGTTGGTGGGAGTGTAAATTAGTTCAATCATTGTGGAAGACAGTGTGGCGATTCCTCAAGGATCTAGAACCAGCAATAACATTTAACCCGTCAATCCCCCTACTGGGTATATAAGTCATTCGACTATAAAGACACATGCACACTATGTTTATTGCAGCACTAGTCACCATAGCAAAGACTTGGGAACCAACCTAAATGCCCATCAATGATAGACTGGATAAAGAAAATGTGACACATATATACCATGGAATACTATGCAGCCATAAAAAAGGATCAGTTCATGTCCTTTGCAGGGACATGGATGAAGCTGGAAACCATCATTCTCAGCAAACTAACACAAGAACAGAAAATCAAATACTGCATGTTCTCACTCATAAGTGGGAGTTGAACAACGAGAAGACATGGACACAGGGAAGGGAATATCACACACCAGAGCATGTTGCGGGGTGCGAGGCTAGGGGAGGGATAGCATTAGGAGACATACCTAATGTAGATGACAGGTTGATGGGTGCAGCAAACCACCATGGCACAGGTATACCTATGTAACAAACCTGCATGTTCTGCACATGTATCCCAGAACTTAAAGTATAATAAAAAAGTGGTAAGAAAAAAAAACAAAGATATACTCCAGAAACCTCACTTGATATACTTTCTTATGGCTCAAATTCATAAAATTTAATTCACACTATGGCAAAGAATCATAAAAAGTCAATAAAATTTTACTTTTCATGTTGTGTAGATGCCTCACCTTTAGATAAACTGTTACTCTTATGTACAATTTTATTTTTCAAGTGTATTTCTTTTTGGAAAACATAGATGGCTGTTACTTTTAGTATGACAGTCTCTTCTTTTTGATTGAAATTTTAGAGCATTTACATTTATTATTCCTATGTTGGGGTTTAGATATTTAATTTTGCTATTTGTATTTATTTTGTCTCATTTATTCTTTTTTAAAAATGTTTCCTTATATTTTAGATACAAAATGGGATCCATCTCACATAAGTCAGAAAGGCTGTTAATAAAAAGTCAACAACAACAACAACAACAACAGATGCTGGTGAGGCTGCAGAGAAAAGGAAATGCTAATACACTGTTGGCGAGAATGTAAATTAGTTCAGCTACTGCAGAAACCAGTCTGGAGATTTCTCAAATAACTTAAAACGAGATACCATTTGATCAGGTGATCTCATTACTGGGTACATATCCAAGAGAAAATAAATCATTCATTTGTTCTTTTTACTCCTTCTCTCTTCTTTTCTTTTAGATTTTTTTAATGATTCATTTTATCATCTTTATTGACTTATTAGCTATACCTGTTTATTAATAAGTGACTGCTTTCCAAGTTTACAGGATACATCTTTACCTTAGCACACTCTGTGTTAGAATAACATTATATCATTTCCCAATTTCACATTATAAATGAGAATCTTATAACAGTAAATTTACATGTACCTTCTCTCAAAATGGTATTTTCATATGTATTTTCCTTCTATACAGGTTAAAATCTGTATAATGCATAGTTATTTTGCTTAATCTTTTAAAGAAATTTCAAAAATAAGGTTATGTATCATATACTTTTATTGTTAATAGTTCTAGTGATATTCCTTCCTTTGTGAAGATACAGGTTTCCTTTTGTTATTCACTTGGTTACAACATTTCTTACAAAGGGCTTGTGCTAGTAATAAATTTATTCAGCATTTTTATGTCTGAAAGTGTATCTTTTTTGTTCTTCACAGATATTTTTAAACTTTTACTGCAATAAAATTTTAGGTTGACAGTTTTCATCTTTAGCTCTTTAAACATTTTGTTTCAGTGTCGCTTCTGATGAGATATATTCTGTCATTCTTATTTCTAAGCTTCGTTATACAATATGCTTCTTTTTCTGGTTGCTTTTTAAAACCTCTCATCATTATTGTTTTGAACAGTTTTCATTATGATGTATCATGATAAAGTTTACGAATCTTTCATGTGCTAGAAGTTTTTTATACTTTGGTAAAATTTTTATTTAACTTGAAACATTTTTGGCCATTAAATTTTCAAATATATGTTCTACAACCCCCTTTCTTTGGACACTTGAATTACATGTATATTAGTTCCATGTGTATTGAAGTATTTCATAGTTCTCTGATGCCTTATTAATTTTTCATTTTAGACAGTTTCTGCTGCTATGTCTTTAAGTTCAAGAATCTTGCCTGCCATAATGTCTAATCCGCAAATAATTCTCCCTTAGGAGTCAGTATTTTTCCTATCAGACATTGTGTTTTTCATCTCCAGAAGTTTGAGTCTTTTAAAAACATATCTTGTTTCTCCTTAATGTATTTATGCTTTTCTCTACATTCATGAATATATGAACTTTTATTTATGACTATTTAATGTATTATTTAACAAATTCTGTCATCTGTGTAATTTGGGGGTATTTATATTTTTCCACATTATTAAAAATACATATTTTTTCATGCCAGATAATTGTTTATTGGATGCCAGTCATTTTTAATTTTAAAAGTTTGGTTGCTGTTTTCTTTTGAGTGCATGTTCTTTTAATTAGAGTTTTGTTCTGGGAGGAAGATATATTCCCTGAGAAGAAATTTTGCATACTCCCACTTCCCTGCCCCAGTCTTGCTTTTGAGCTTGGTTAGGTGGTGTTGGAGCAGGCTTTAGTCTGTGGCTAATGCGTCCCCACATTGACGAAATACAATTCTTAATACTGAATCCAATGCCCTGTGTATTTCAAAATTTCTCCACTCTGCTGTTGAATCTTGGACTATTTCCAGCGCTATGGAAACCCTGTTTATTGTTCTGCCTTCTCCTTTCTACTGGATCTTTTACCAGCCTCAGGCAGTTTCCTTACATACGTGTTTATTAATGTGCAGCTGGAAATTTTAGGAGATCTTCATTAAAGATGTCTCCAATGTCCCCCCACCTTCTTTTAAGCCTTCTAATCCCAGGTACATCCTCCTCAAAATTCTAGCCACTTTAGCCTACCAAGTATTTATCTCTTTTTCCTCAATTCAGAAAATGTGCCAGGTTTTGTTTAGATTTACTGTGACTGTGGGGCAAGTACCACAACCTGGAAACACTCTCCAATCAGTAAGTTCGGATAATTTAGAATTCACCTTATTTGTTTCTCAACCCTCAGGGATCTCTGTATTGTGCTGCCTGCTGTCCACTGCCTGAAAATAATTTTTTTTTTCAAACATTCTCCCGAAGTTTCTTAGTTGTTTTAGGCTGGGAGGTATATCTGCTGTCTGGTACTCTGTCATTGTCACAAATAGAAGTCTCTGCCATCTAATTTTGTGTTGTCCATTTACTATCTTTTCCTTAGCCCTTAGTTCTTTGTCCCCATTTCTCGAGGCTTCTATGATATTGATCAAGGTTTTTCCTCATTTATCTATGGAACACACAGAATTGAGTTAATCATAATATCAGTTCACAGTAAATCATCTTTTTTAAATTCATGTTTTATCATTTTATTTCATATATGCTTTTCTCCTCCTGTCTGATTCCCACTGCCCTAGCCCTCTCCCTCATAGATATTTTCTTTAATAAAGTTTGACACAGTTCCTTATATATGCATGCATGGATTGTGTATATGTGGGTGTTTACGTTTAATAGATATGTCACCTAAATATTATTCTATTTTTTTACTTCTTTTTACTCAAACTTGTTTTGATGATCTGCCCATTTAGCTGCATTTTATTGTACTCAATTACTGCATAATATATACATAGCATAATTTCTCTACATATTTCTAATCATATCTCCTTAATCATGGACAGTGACTTTCTACTAGTCTCTTGTGAGGACAAACAATACCTAAATTTACAATATATGAGTGTCCCTTTTTGTTATGCAAAAAAAGTCCCTCTGGGAAATATGCCAGCAAATGTGATAGTCTGATAGGATATACAAATATGAATATCTTTAAACTCTGCCAGATTACTTTCCTGAATGGTTTCTAAGATTCAATTCTTTGCCAGCAGTCTCCAGGAATATTCTTCTCTGTATATATTATATTTATACAGCCTCCCAATAATAATGTTTTAATGGCACAAATAGATATTTTATTACATAATTTGCTGTTTTCTGATTTCTATCATATCTTAGTCTTTTAATCTTATGTGATTGACTATTGATATAATTTGACCATATTGCCGCCCTTCCTTTTTTTTTTTCTTGGTCTCTTCTTGTTGTCGTGCACAAGTTCTTTGTGTATTCTAAATGTTAATCTCTTGTCAAATTTTGTAAAGGAAAACTCTTTCTCCCCCGCTTATCAACTACTATTAGATTATTTGTTAAAAACAAATCCTTAACTTTAATATAGTTAAATCTAAAGATCATTGAAGTAAAGATATTTCACCCACACTAGGTCAAAAATATATCATCGGACATGCACTGCAATCTTACCAGGTGGTATGTAGTTACGAATTTGTTGTTTGTTTGTTTGTTTGTTTGCTTTGTTTTGTTTAGACTCTCTTTGTGATATTGAGAATGTGACTTTATTTAATTATAGAAATTTTTAGGTTATTTTCTCTTCTTATATTGACTTCTTTCATTCTCTCCTATTGTGACATCATTTCATTCTGTTCTCCCAAATCCAATGTTTTCATTTTCCACATTTTTATTCCGGTCTGATGCAGAGTTAATAACTTTCTTTTTTATCCTCCATTCATTAATTCTCTGTCTTGTTCTAACTAGTTGACTATTATTCTTACCCATTTTTCTTTTAATTTCAATGACTAGCTATTTATTCATTCTGAAAGTAAATTCATCCATTCTCATTCATGTTATATAATTTTTATTATTTTATTTATATTTTTGAACATTTTTAAGTACACTCATTTTAAATTCCCCAAGACTGTGATCCTCTGTATTTCTTGGAAAGTAAATTTTCACACAGGTTGAATCTATAGGCGTTCCATTATAATGTTTAAAGTAAAAGTGGAAATTTTTCTACTGTGGTTTAGTCCATCATGTTAATGGAAATTCACAAAGTATCTTGATAAAGGGGAAGTTTTAACGATTGACTTGCCTTAAAGTTACCTCTGACTGGAAAAAGCTTTAATGGATTTCTATTAAATACATTAAAATTCAAAACAAGAGAAAACTTTAAAACTAAGGGTTTTCCCAGATGAACATAAACATTCTTCTGTTTCCCATCATCATTTCCCTATTATGCTTTCCTAGAATAGCCAAGCTAACTGCTTACTATATATCCTTCCAGTTGTGTTCTATGCAAATAAACAGACAAAAAAACACACATAGAAGGCCCATCCAACCTGCCTTCTTTAGGTATATAAGTCCTGTCATATATATGTCTGCAACTTCTTCAACTTATTACAAACATCGAAATTCTGCCAAAAATTATACAAATGTACATGTTAATGAAAATTGCATAATAATACCTGTTTCTCTAAATCCTTGCTATATTGGTTTTTCCACATCTAATTCAATTTTTTTCACATATCACCTATAAAATAGGAGAAAATAGTATGCTTTTCTATTAATCAAAGTCTTCTGATATAGTTCTATTTAAAGCATCAATCTTTATCTAGTTGCAAAGCTAATATTTAAATTGGAGATAATGTTTTAACAACATTTTAATTTTAGAGATTAGAAAAACAAAGATCATAGAGTTCAATTCTAGAGGTGAGACTCATATTTTCTGATATATCTTTCAAGACCTGTGGTGTCAAGTATGGTCTCAAATTGCCTTTTTAAAAAATCTTTTAATCTCTGCTTTTCAGGTCTCCCCTCAAAATCAGAATTGTAAAGTTGAAGACAAATCGTGCAACTTTCCTCCCTTTACTGTCTACATAACAATCCATGCAACCACATTATACTCTTTTATCTAAGAAAGTAAATCATTATCCTAGTCTCTTTTGCTTCCTTAGCCCGTTTCTTTCTTTACAAACTCTTGTTTTAGAATACACTTCTCTAATCAATGGTACCTTAGTGTACCTTAATCTTATCTCTACTTAAAGACCTTTGCTGTGCTTTTATACCTACAAATACATTTAGACTAATTTCAACCAACAGCTTTAAAAGTAAATGTTTTCCTTAATAAATGTTCTTGGATGTGATATCTCTTGGTGCCTCTTGAGGAAAGGAAATAGCATAAAGTACCATTAGTTAGGATGAGAAGCCAAAGGGAATTAACATCTGGCCTGATGAAATGCTAATTTCAAAAATCTGTATCCAACAGCCAATTCTGACCAGAAACACATAGTACTGCAATAATTGCATAAATTCATTGCAGACTAAACAATGTCTAAATATTCAATATTGGGGTTGGTGGATCCTTGATGACTGGAAGACAGCCACTACACTACGTTTACTTCAAAGGATCTCAGGAAGTTAAAATGAGTTTTTTGTTAACCCAAGGAATCTTACAGAAATCTAGAGCTACTCACATCAAAATATTTTCTTAGGGAAAGTTTGGTCTCTGATGATAAATTTAACTTGAAACTACTTGGAGATTTTTCAGAGTAGATCCTTTTCCCTTGAATGGAAAGAGAACTACTCACATAGAGAACATTTTCATTAATTTTATGATTCGCCATATTGTAAGTATTTTGATAATCTGTTATAAACGCTCTCTTGGGTCATGCCAAAAGAATTCTATGAGATAGGTGATATTTATTTACATTTATTTTTCTCACTGGGAAACTACCACAGTGAGGAAAGAAAATGACAACAACTTGTCTATATTCCATAGGTAGATTTCAATATATGATAACATATGGTAAAATATTAATGACAATACTTAGGTGGTGGATATATGGATATTAAGTTACTTTTCTGCTACAATATTTTATTTAAATGTTGGGGAAAATATTGCATAGATAATACCTAGAAAACTTGGAATTTCTATCACCCCTGACTGCTTCTGAAAATAACTGCTCTACCCTACCTGTGCTCACCAGTTTTGAAGACATATCACCAGAATATATCTTTTATCTTCTTATGGAAAGAGAATACCTATTGGGAACAGAAGATCTGAGTCCAAGTCTCTGCTCTTTCTACCTTTTATCTTTTTTAATCTTGATTACTAATCAAAAAAATCAAACACAGAGCACTTGCAACATTGCCTGTAATAACATTTGTGAATTAGTATAATAGTTGTATTTAAGTACCATAAAAACCAAGTTTTAGAACAAATATGATGCAGAGAAAGAATCAGTTTCTTAGTTTCATTACTATTTTCTGAGCACAAGACTATCAAGGTGGATAAACGGTGACTCCTTTTCAGTAGGAACCTGCAGGCCTTTTTTCAGAATGGCGAAAAAGACTTCCAGATTTAAACACTGTAAGGGAATGAAGACACAAGTCTCAATAAAAGGGGTCAGGAAACTTAGGGAAGGGAAGTACTGTGGGCGATCAGAGAATTCACCCCGAGAAAAGAGAGAGTTGTGTAATCCAGGCTTTTTTTTGGAAAATTAGTTTGTGGACTTTGGGAAGGGTCATTTTGAACACGGATACTGGCTGATGCTCCTTAAGCATCCTATGTAGTGGAGAAATGCAGAAATAGACTTCAGGGAGGTGTAAGACTTGAATGTACTTGGAATGTGGCTCACATGGCAAACTGATATGGATTTAAACTTTCAGTAAGCACTCAGTTGCATGCTGAGGTTGTTCCTGTACCTTGCACTAGTGGGCAGATAGTTATTACAATTACGATCCTCAGAAAAATCAGGAAAGAGTGAAAACACAGAAAATCTGCCAGCAGAATGGCAAAGATTGCTTCCAGAAGAATTTGATTATTCTTGCCCTAATCAGGTAGCTTTATTAGCAACAGCAACAGTAAACTAGGAATCATAAAAGCAAAAAGAAACTTGCCACTTCATGGGAAGTGCTATTCTCTATGACTTCTACATGTGAAATGTACATGGGAAGTTGACATTTTTACCCACGTTATACTCCTTAATAGCATCAACTATAGATTTTTTAGTCAATCACATTTTCTTTATTTTGGGATGGTCATAGAGAAGATTTCCATAAAAGGGTCTACTATCTCCACAGACCACCTCTTCGAATAACTTGTTTCTTGACCAGTGATCTCAAGTATCTGCTCTTTGACAGAAATGAGAGTATCAGAAATCAGGGCCAAGATGAAGTCAAAACTTCTCAACAAAATATACTCGTGTAAAATGGGTACTCCTGATGGTTAATGACCAAGTGATATTATATTTCTTAGGAGGTCTGAATATGAAATTATCTAGGATACTTAGTTGTTGGCATTGAAGCAAGATGAAATAAGTAGAAAGAGTTACACAGGTGGAAGAAATAAATAATACTATTAGAAGACTGCTAGAGTTTTAACTACTTTATGGAAGGAGCAAAGTTTTAACCACTGCACAAGTAGACTGGAAGAAGCAAAACAAGTAACAAGAAGACAGAGAGAAGAGCTAAGATAAACAAAGAGAGCAGAGCTGCAGTTAGAAAAGGAAAGCAGCAGATAACCCTGAGGCCCAAAGATTGCTAGGAAGATAGAATGGCATCTAGAGAACTCAATAGCTGCTAGCCATTGAGAAACAAACAGAAGCCAGCAGGTAGCCAAGAAGAAGGAAGGATGAAAGCCTCTCAGATGGCCTTTCCCTCTGCTTTGGTCATTCTCTTTGGCTCATTTGGCCTAGAGGAAAATTACTATAAAGAGACAGGTACTATGGGCTTAGAACAAAGTAAAAATTTATATTTCCCAAGTCAAAGTAAAGTTACACATACCGAATATAAAAGTTGTTTTAATAGATACTTTCAAGAAAAAGCAGTGCCAAAATATTATAATAATCTATATCACTGAATCATATAATAATTTCAAATAGGATCTAGAGATTATATGTTCATTAATGACATGTAATAACTATTTTCTATTTCAGGGCATCTATGACCTGGGCCTGTGATAACAACTTTACATGTAGTTTCTTGTAATCTCAGTTATAACCAATCATGTGGGAATGTTATTAGTCCCCTATTATGCTTAAGTAAACTAAGTGCTACTATGTAAACAGGCCACTGTTTGTACCAGTAAAGTCAATAACACATATTTTATTACAGAGACCAAAAGTGGTTTTTTTCTTCATAAAAGTGAAAATGGGCATAGTGCAAGATTCCTTTCAATTATCACTAAATACTAAGGAGAATACATTTCAATTTCTGTATTTAACATTAGACCAAGATGGTTTTATGTTTTTTTGGTTTTGTTTTTGTTTTTTTGATGGAGTCTTGCTCTGTCACCAGGCTGGAGTGCAGTGGTGCGATCTTGGCTCACTGCAACCTCCGCCTCCCGGGTTCAAGTGATTCTCCTACCTCAGCCTCCTGAGTAGCTGGGACTACAGGCACGTGCCACCATGCCTGACTCATTTTTTTGAATTTTTAGTGGAGACAGGGTTTTACAATGCTGGTCAGGATGGTCTTGATCTCTTGACCTTGTGATCCGACCAAGATGGTTTTAATGTTTCCCTCAGATTGACTAAACTTTAAACATATTTCTTCGTGACACTAGGCCTGGACCTTTTTTCTTAGAAAATTTTAGAAATCTTTCAAAGGTAAATTCTTTCCTCACCGCTTTGAGAATTAAATCTTTTCCCAGCCTTTTTGCTAGTTTTACAACCAGTAATATCTTTCTCAAGGACCAGGGAGCCATTCTTTGAAATGTAATCCTCGAAAAAAAATAAATAATGCCCTTATCTCCCAGTTTCTGTGAGAAAGTAGGAGCCTAACTTCAATTAGCAAACACTGGAGGACTCTCACGTTGCCAGAAGTCCAACATGCTTCAGTACATTTTCACTAGTTCACCCAGTGGTTTAAAAAACTCATGTTTTGTTTCTGCAGACTTGAGTTTAATCTCTGTCCCTACTGCAATAGTCTTGAATAAAATCTTTCTTGCCTGCTTAATTTGTCCAATGGATTTTTCTTTGACACATTACACACAGAACTTAAAATTGAATGAAGCCACCAGACATCTCTTAACAATTTAATAAGCTCAAGCATCAAACTGATATCTATTTTCTAATTATTTATTTGCTTTTCCACTAGAATTTAAACTTTGAATATACAATTTAATTCTACAGGATGCATCCAAGCAAGCTTTGGAAAGAAAAAATGATATTAAAATTAGTGTTTTTCAGACTTTTTGTAAACCTTTTGTAAAATGAGAAGTGATGTGCCATCTCAAGATCAGTGTTTTGATTTTTTATTTTTTTCCTTTTTTTTATTATTATACTTTAAGTTTTAGGGTACATGTGCACAAAGTGCAGGTTAGTTACATATGTATACATGTGCCATGCTGGTGTGCTGCACCCATTAACTCGTCATTTAGCATTAGGTATATCTCCTAATGCTATCCCTCCCACTTCCCCCCATCCCACAACAGGCCCTGGAGTGTGATGTTCCCCTTCCTGTGTCCATGTGTTCTCATTGTTCAGTTCCCATCTATGAGTGAGAACATGCGGTGTTTGGTTTTTTGTCCTTGTGATAGTTTACTGAGAATGATGATTTCCAATTTCATCCATGTCCCTACAAAGGACATGAACTCATCATTTTTTATGGCTGCATAGTATTCCATGGTGTATATGTGCCACATTTTCTTAATCCAGTCTATCATTGTTGGACATTTGGCTTGGTTCCAAGTCTTTGCTATTGTGAATAGTGCCACAATAAACATACGTGTGCATGTGTCTTTATAGCAGCATGATTTATAGTCCTCTGGGTATATACCCAGTAATGGGATGGCTGGGTCAAATGGTATTTCTAGTTCTAGATCCCTGAGGAATCGCCACACTGACTTCCACAATGGTTTAACTAGTTTCCAGTCCCACCAACAGTGTAAAAGTGTTCCTATTTCTCCACATCCTCTCCAGCACCTGTTGTTTCCTGACTTTTTAATGATCACCATTCTAACTGGTGTGAGATGGTATCTCATTGTGGTTTTGATTTGCATTTCTCTGATGGCCAGTGATGATGAGCATTTTTTCATGTGTCTTTTGGCTGCATAAATGTCTTCTTTTGAGAAGTGTCTGTTCACATCCTTTGCCCACTTTTTGATGGGGTTGTTTGTTTTTATCTTGTAAATTTGTTGGAGTTCACTGTAGATTCTGGATATTAGCCCTTTGTCAGATGAGTAGGTTGCAAAAATTTTCTCCCATTTTGTAGGTTGCCTGTTCAGTATGATGGTAGTTTCTCTTGCTGTGCAGAAGCTCTTTAGTTTAATTAGATCCCATTTGTCAATTTTGGCTTTTGTTGCCATTGCTTTTGGTGTTTTAGACATGAAGTCCTTGCCCGTGCCTATGTCCTGAATGGTATTGCCTAGGTTTTCTTCTAGGGTTTTTATGGTTTTAGGTCTAACGTTTAAGTCTTTAATCCATCTTGAATTGATTTTTGTATAAGGTGTAAGGAAGGCATCCAGTTTCAGCTTTCTACATATGGCTAGCCAGTTTTCCCAGCACCATTCATTAAGTAGGGAATCCTTTCCCCATTGCTTGTTTTTCTCAGGTCTGTCAAAGATCAGATAGTTGTAGATATACGGCATTATTTCTGAGGGCTCTGTTCTGTTCCATTGGTCTATATCTCTGTTTTGGTACCAGTACCATGCTGTTTTGGTTACTGTAGCCTTGTAGTATAGTTTGAAGTCAGGTAGCGTGATGCCTCCAGCTTTGTTCTTTTGGCTTAGGACTGACTTGGTGATGCGGGCTCTTTTTTGGTTCCATATGAACTTTAAAGTAGTTTTTTCCAATTCTGTGAAGAAAGCCATTGGTAGCTTGATGGGGATGGCACTGAATCTATAAATAACCTTGGGCAGTATGGCCATTTTCACGATATTGATTCTTCCTATCCATGACCATGGAAAGCTGCATTGCATCACTGAGGTTAGGGAGTAGGTTGTGTCTGTTAGGATGAGAATTTATCGCACTCAGTTTCTGCTAAATTTGAGTGGGTCAAGATATAGGTTTTCTATTGCTTTCCTATAAGCAGGTATTAATTTCATCCATTTGTTCTGCATTGCAGCTATATTTGTACAATGCCAACTATGTCCTAAAAAAGTAAGGTAAATCCATGCATAGATTCTCCTAAATGTCCAACTGTTGCATGCTATATAAATAACCATCTGAATATTTTGTCTGTGCTATGAGCACAGTGTGATATGCACGAGGGTAATTCTGTGTGGCTTCGTTCCCAGAAAACTTACTATCAAAATGAGTCTCTCTTAAGACTCTTTTAGAGAAAGCAACTTAAAATAAAACTTAAAATCAATAAAGATTCCCAGATACGCTTTGGTTACCAGAATCAAGAGAAAGCAAATAATATTTTAAGTGATGAGAAAAACATGCATTTGGAGTCTGTATTGATTTGCTTAAACTCTGTTTTAGCTTGGTGTATGCATACAGACTTATTTTAAATGTAGATTGTTCAAATTGTCCACATTAAAACATTAAAAATAAGTTTAGTAACTTTTTCACTGCTTTAATATATCCATCAAGACCCCATGTTTCCTACATTTATTTTATGTCATCTTTTTAATCAAAGGAATGTAGCATCTTCTATCATGGTACTAATATTGCCTCGTCATGTAGTTTGTATTGAAATTATAATGATACAACAAGATCTCTCCTAGGGGACTCTTAGTTCCTGTTTTCACAGATGTTTCTGCTGCTTGTGAAAACGGGTTTGGATATGGTAACTTGGCAAAGCTAGAGCAGCAATAAAGTGATGATGAGTTCAAAATGGCAATGGAAAGTATGAAAATGGGAAATTAATGCTTTTCCATTCAGAAACTTTGTTTATAATTGAACTGTGTTATTTTCCAGGTGAATGTCGTTTCCTTGGGTTTCCAGGGAAGCTGTGTCTAATGATTATTACTGCTCCTTGAAAATAGCAACTCATTAAGATCACTATCTTCTGGCAATCTTACCTTATAAGGCATTTCTTCATGTTATCGAGCAGATTGAAAAATAAAGAAATTTTTTCTGGCTGGATTTGTTAATATAAAACAATAAAGTGAAAGAGTCACATTGAAATATCTTATTTACAAGAAGACACTGGGGATGGGATATAATGAATACATATTTAAAATATGAAGAATATAATTTACAAAAATGTAGCAGTATTTGAAGATACAAACAAATAGTAGTCATGCAAATTAATACAAATTAGCAAAGCATGAATAAAATTTAAGATTCAGGATATGTTCAGGTTTGTGGTAGAAATGGTTATTAAATACATATTTTTCTATTTGTGTATTTGTTATGAAATGATTGAACATAGGCTGGGCATGGTGGCTCATGCCTGTAATCCCAGGACTTTGGGAGGCCAATGCAGATGGATCATGAGGTCAAGAGATCGAGAGTGTCCTGGCCAAGGGGGTGAAACCCCGTCTCTACTAAAAATACAAAAATTAGCTGGGCATGGTGGCGTGTGCCAGTTTTCCCAGCTACTCGGGAGCCGGAGGCAGGAGAATCACTTGATCCCAGGAGGTGGAAATTTCAGTGAGCCAAGATCCCAATACTGTACTCCAGCCTGGTGTCAGAGTGAGACTCTATCCCCCCACCTCCCCCAACAAAAAAAGTAATCATCGAACATTAGACAGGATTACAGGATTCATTTTACATTTGATATACCTCTGGATCCATGAGCTACACATAAATAATGGAGAAAAAGTAAGTACGAATATATTTTAAAAATACAGATTACTCATATTTTTCATATTGGCAGTGAGGTCATCTACAATATCACATTATCAGTTCTTTAGGATTACAGCTTTATATCTTCTGGAAAAAGAATTCTGAGTACTTTTATCGGAAAATATCACCATGCCTTTTGTACTGAAAGTATAGCACATTCACTGTAAATACACACACACACACACACACACACACACATACTCACATGCTTTTGACAACAGCAGTTAATAGTTCATAAATAATTGAGAAAAAGTCATATCTAATTCATAATATTGTAATTTTAATATAGCATAACACTGGTTCAAAATTTACGTAGTATTGTTTTCATTCAAAATATTATCTAATCATTTTATTTTCTTCACGATTTGAAAACTTCTCTGAGCATCAAAATCTACTAAATGTATATATATAATTTATTTTCAACATAGTTGTCTATTTAAGTGGCACCAGAAATTATACTAGTTAATATTTAAAAAAAATAGTGATATATATACCAACCTCTCTTAAGGAACTCCTCACGTCTGTCAAGACTTGCTAACATCCATAGGGATTCTCAACCAGTTTACAGTTTCTGCATTGATTTGGGACCCATAAAATTGAAGAAATCCCAGACTGTGTCCAAGGCTCCACTAGGTGCTAAATATGCCTGCCATGACCACTTGAACCGCTCCCTTCATATACTATAAAGCACTTGTTTGTCTTGCCAGCATGTTTGTGAAATTGATCGTGTGCAAGCAATTCAATTAACTCAATATGTACATACCCATTATCAACTCTTTTTTTAAAGCCCTTATTTTTCAATTTGCACTTTCAACGAACATCCTTGATGCTTTTACATTATTTTTACATTATTTAATCTTATTAAAATCTAAGGTCCTTGCTTAGGAGGTAAAATCTTCAATAAGTTTTCTGAATTCACCTTTACAAGCATATCTTTGACTGTACTTATAGGTAGTAGTAAAGGATTAGCAAGCCCTCAGCATGAATTCCTAACCAAAATATATGTATTTTTTTCATAATTTAAAAAATAAATTGAAAGTAGAAATGATTGTGACTATAAATATGCTGTGTAAACAATTACATTAAAAACAAGAGATCAATGGATTCAACATCATGGTTAGTTGAAAATACACAAAAGGAATTTTTCAGTTAGTATTTGATTCCAAGTTCTAAATACTGCATTTCAAATCATCATTTTCTTTGTAATCCGAGCAATGAATATAGACAAAAGATCAATCTCAGCCAAATTCAGCTAGTAACTAATTAGTGGCCTGACTGTGAATGAGGAGATGTTTCAAAGCTGTTTGTTAACAAAATTGTACGGTAAGTGAGCATTGTTCTACCAACCACATGATAGATATGATTTCTTTTAGAGCCAATTGAAATATTGTGAAGAATAAGCAATGTAGGAACCATGATGATCTTTACCATCCTAATTCCTCCTCTTGGCAGAAAAGAAAACTCCTCCTTAAAACATCAAGGCCAAACTGGCAGGTATGAAATGTACCCAGGGACTTGACTTCTGCTCCACATGTGCAGAAATGCAGAAGGAATTATATCTAAGCTGACGGCTCACACTGACCAAATGGAGTCCAACCAAGAAGAAGAAAATACATTGACACTGTCCATCTATGACTCTGGTGCTGGTTCAGGTACTTGTAGAATAAGAAAGTATCAAGTTTTCTTAAGAAACTCTAATAACTGGAGAGTAATTGAAGATAACAGCATTTAGCAAGCTTCAGGGAAACTTCCTACACCTGTGTTACCAGGCAGTAGAAAATATCTCGATTCTAGAATGGATCTTTTTACCTGGAACAACTCTACGCTTTGGGAAGAAAGGTTTGATTTGACATGCAGAACAGTCTACAAGGCAAAAGGTGTTAGACAACTATTTAACATAAGAATAATTTATCTGGGGACTCACCTAAGGTATAACACATTATTTTAGACCTTTGTGAACACATCTTCATAGCAGTTCCATAAAAGTATCTTCTCATTATTATAAACGTCAGCACAAAAACAATAGAATTTTGAAATTCACCTGTTAATTTAATATCATATGACTGTCTGTAAAATTAAAGAAGACAGATTTTGATGGATTTCAGTTCCTGTCTTCAACCTTCATACCTGCTTATAGGACATGTTGTGGTCAAAACAATGATAATAAAAAAGATTTCTTATTTAGAAATAATCAAAGGAAAGCACAACATGCTCCCCTTGGAGGGAAAAACACAGTCTTATAAGATACTTGTAACGTTTTAAAGTGTTTTCTCACATTTCTGCTGTTTCAACAATATTGACTGTCTAATTATGCTTCACAACTAACTTGGGATGCAGGGTATGTAAACATTGTTATTCTCATTTTATAAATTAGGCAACTACAAGTGATGTGAATTATTTAAGGTTTACATTTAGTTGACAGCGGAACAGTGTTGCTCAGGTTGCTATGCTTTGCAGTTGTAAGAAAGAATTCCTTCACTAGGAAGCGAAGAATTATAATAAATTTTAAAATCAAGACATAATGATTCCAACCATAGGTCATCATGTAAAAAAATCATTTCTGTGTCAGCAAGCCTGAACAATAAGTTATTAGTTATTACTGTATATGCTTGTGGGACATATATACATACCAGTAGATTGAGAAATCCCTAGTTATTTTCTCGATATCATTGAGGAGTAAATGTTTTTAATCATAGCTAACACAGAACTATGTTTATATCGATGGCTTGATTTGTAAGTAATCGTCACACAAAGGATATGATTTAAATTTCACTTAGAGTCTTACAAAAATATGTTATCCTTAGCAAGAAATAACAGCAAACCATACTTTACCCAAAAGTCTTGTGTCCTCCACAAGACTTTTCATTCGGTAGGACCTAACCTGAGTCATCTAGTTTGTATGTAATCACATGCTCTGAAAGAATGCCAAATGTTGTTATTCACTAATGCCATGAGGAATTACTGACTGAACCACAGCAAACAATGCCCACACTTTTTGGAATCCAGATGAAAATGACACTATTCTTACACTCTAGAAATTTCCATTTTCTAATAAGATAACACATGTACAAACATAATTACAGCACATTAAGATGTGTGTTCTTACAGACACGGGCCATTGCTTACACAGAACAGTGAAAGCGAGTATGTACAGCCATTCATGAGCTACTTCCCAAAAGAAAAGATCTCTGTCTTTGACCTTAAAAAGTAACAAGAGTTTTGCCAGGGAGCAGAGAGACAATGTGAGCAGAGAAAATACATAAAGACATAAAATAGGCTGGGCATGGTGACTCAGCCTGTATTCCCAGCATTTTGGGAAGCCGGGGCATGTGGATCACCTGAGGTCGGGAGTTCAAGACCAGCCTGACCAACATGGAGAGACCCCCGTCTCTACTAAAAATAGAAAATTAGTCGGGCATCGTGGCACAAACCTGTAATCCCAGCTACTAGAGAGGCTGAGGCAGGAGAATTGCTTGAACCCGGGAGGCGGAAGTTGCATTGACCCGAGATCGTGCCATTGCACTCCAGCCTAGGCAACAAGAGCAAAACTCTGTCTCAAAAGAAAAGAAAAAAAGACATAAAATACAGGGGCTTTTGTTTTTCAGAAAATAGAAATAGCTGTATGTTAGTAGTACACAGAACATAAGCCAAAAGTAGGGAGTCTAGAGGAATAAACAGGAGTTAACAATTTTGAAAAGAAAAGATTTTGGTAATTTAAAACATTTGTACATTTTCATAGAGATTTAGAATTTTTTTAAAGATTAATTTTAATTATTAGGAAAATTGAAATGATCAGAACTGAATTTTACCAAATTACGTGTATCAGTGAAGAAAGAGACTCAAGGAAGTTTAAGTAATTCCCCTGGAACCTGAGATTGAAATGTACTGCTAAATGATGCTATCATATGCCCCTTCCCTATTTGAGATATTATAAAAAGGATACATTGAGGGCATAAATTAAGAATGGCAAGAGGAATGGATGTAGAATTGTGAGATTTGTCTGGATCAGTTAAACACAGTAGATGCAGAGGGAAATATTTAGTGTGAACCTGATGCCAAGAATAAATAGAAGGTGTTTAATCAAGATGGATTATATAAGAAAATGATGAGTGTGAGGAATATTTTTTTCAGGTACATGTTGCTCAGTCATGTAGGTACAAATGCTAAATAAGCATTGAAATAAATAGAAGGTGAAACAGATGTATTTGTTGACAATGTTAGGCATAGTATAATAAACTCACATGTCATAAGGCTTGAGACCAAACAAGTTCTTAAAAGACTGGATAATGAAAGAAAAGAAGGGAACTAGGGATGGACTCTATTAGTTTTCTAGGGTTGCTGTAACAAAGTACTAGAAACAGAACGGCTTAAACAACAGAAATTTATTGTCACACAGTTCTGGAGGCTGGAAATTCACATATACAGGGGAAAACACACACACACACACACACGCACGCACACACGAAACTAGCTAGCTCCCACAATTGCTCAAGCCAATTCCTTAAAATTACTCTTTGTTTTTTCGAAGTCGAACAGCAGGTTGAAAATTCCAGCAGGAGTTTATGTTGCAGGCTTGAGTCTAAATGCAATCTGGAAGCTGAACTCTCTCCTCTTCTAAGAACCTCAGAGTTTTCCATTAAGGCCTTCAACTGATTGTATGAGGCCCACAGACATTATGGAGGGTAATCTGCTTCATTCGAATTCCACAAATGTAAATGTTAATCACATCTAAAACAGAAAATCTTCACAACAACATCTTGACTGGTGCTTCACCAAGCAACTAGGCACTATAGCTCAGCCAAGCTGACCCACAAAATTAATTCTCACAACTGAGAACAACAAAACTGAAGGAATAGGCAGAAGATGATTTTGTTAAAAAAAAAAAAAGGCTGAGAAGTATGAGTTATAATTATAAAAGGTAATGAGAGAGTCACAGGGTGAAAGCCCAAGAAATCAAGATGGAAGGATTTTTTTGGTCAGCTATAGAAGTATAGAGAGAAATTCTAGATTTTTAAAAAAGAAATCTGGATTTTTAAAAAATGTTCATTATCTAAAGAAAGTATTGATTTTGAAACTTCAAAATAATGGTATAAAATCTAGACAGGAATGAATAAAAAAGAAAATTTTGTTTCCTGCTGTATAACTAAACAGATAACCTGAATAAACCTGGTAAAAGCAATAAAAAATGTTAAAATGTATTAAAACAAGTCATACTAAAACTTCTGCTGGACTAAAAAAAAAATTAAAATAAATATTCAGAGGCCTTAAAACCAAGTAAAATAAGTTCAGATAAAGAAGCTTGTCCTGAGGTGGGTTTTTGACCTTGGGGTTCTTACAAACTCTAGTTACGAATGAAATTCTTATTAATGATGTCGTAGGACAGAGAGACAAAGGTGAGTGTAAAATCTAACAGGAGATTCCATGCAACACAGTGCTTCCAAAATACGAACCAGAAACAAACTAAACATATAGTGATATGGTTTGGTTTTGCGTCCCCGCCCAAATCTCACTTTGTAGCTCCCGTAATTCCCACGTGTTGTGGGACGGGCCCAGTGGGAGATGACTGAATCATGGGTGCAGGTCTTTCTTGTGCTGTTCTCATGAGAGTGAATGGGTCTCACAAGATCTGAAGGCTTTAAAAATGGGAGTTTGTCTGCACAAGCTCTCTCTTTGCCCGCTACCATCCATGTAAGATGTGAATTGCTCCTCTTTGCCTTCTGCCATGATTGTGAGGTCTCCTCAGTCATGTAGAACTGTAAGGATATGTCTTTGTCAGCAGCACGAAAATGGACTAATACATATAGGAAAAAGATAATGACTACTTTGACCCTGGGTCTGGGGAAAAAGGAAATAAGGAAAAAAATTGTCCATTGAAATCTGAACGCATAATCTGAATTTCTAAGGAAACACTGTATTGGCCTATTATGTAACCTGAAACTCCTTAAGGTGAAAAAGGGATCTGAGATTTTGGATGCCCTCAAGTATTTGGCAAATTCAAATACAAATCTGTTTTGGAGAAGACTACCTTTTTAACCCAGTCATCAAAGAATTGCCCCAAATGAAATTCCAAGGAATTTGAGACCACAAAAAATAACTGAAAAACATAGGAATAGAATGTAGAATGAACAAGAGCCAGCAGTAACTGCAAGAAAGAGAAACAAACCAACAAAGACGTTAAATATTGAAATAATCACAAAATAGAAAATAATTACATTTAATTTGTTGAAAATGTAAAAAAAAAATAAAAAATAAAAAAATAAGAAATGCTAAAAGCAACCAAGAACAAAGGAAGCTCTCCCTCAACCAAATGCCAGTTTAACTGATGTTTTTCTTAACTGCAACCATGGAATCCAGAAGATAGTTGATTAATATTTTCAATGAGCTAAGAAGAAAAGCTGCCAATCTCAAATTATTTTTCCACTATGAATATCTTTCCACAAAAGGCCAAAATATGCATTTTTATAGATATAATAACTGACAGATTTTTATCCCAACAGAACTTTATTAAGGAGATTGTTAATTAGTGTACTTCAGGGAGGAAATAATATAATTTCACAATTAATATACAAGATGAGATACCAAGTATAGAATTTTGTAACTACATGTAAATTTAAACTAATATTGATTGTTTAACCCATAAGCATAATATCAAATTTGTGGTATTAAAAACAAACAAGATAAATCCAAAATATGGAACAACAAAAGTATATAAATCAGGTCCAGGGAGATAATAGGTGTTTTTGCATCTTTATATTGTTTGATATTTAAACTGTTAACTTTGGACTTTACTAAGTTATGTATGTTAAAATATTCAGAAAAGTAATAAAATGCCATAGAATATATAGGTAGAAAAAATGCAACAGAGAAAACACCTTAATAAATTCAAAGGAGTTAGTATATAAGAAAGCAAAGAAAAACCTTCATTGGAAAAAATGTAGATTTGAAGAGACAGATATAATTAAGTTGCCAGAGGTTTTTTTTTTTTAATAATGGAAGACAGTATACTTATAAATTTAGGAAATGAAATGACCTTACTATCATGACTCATTCAACAGTTATTCCACAAATGTTCACTGCATCCTAAGCATGTACTTAGGATTACCAGACACCTTGCTAGACACTAGATATAACACTGGTCGAATGACAGTCCTTGTCCTAAAGGCATTTATAATGGGAGCATCTCATTAAGGATTTGGCCTTTTTAATGAGTTTGGAGAGTATCCTAGCAACAGGTAGGTGTCAGAGAGTTTTAAGCAAGGGGATGACATAATTAAATTTGTATTGTAGGAATTCACTCTGAATTCAGGACAGATAACATATAATAGATTCCCAAGACTTGGGAAGCTTTGTGCCCAAGAAATGCTGATTACCTGAACAAGGTAGTAACACTGAGCATTGAAATAAATGGACAGATTTAAATTTGAATATATAATAATTAACTTTTTTTTGAGATGGAGTCTTGCTCTTGTCACCTAGGCTGGAGTGCAATGGCATGATCTCAGCTCACGGCAACCTCCGCCTCCCAGGTTCAAGCGATTCTCCTGCCTCAGCCTCCCAAGTAGCTGGGATTACAGGTGCCCACCACCATGCCTGGCTAATTTTTTGTATTTTTAGTAGAGACAAGGTTTCACCATGTTGGTCATGCTAGTCTCGAACTCCTGACCTCATGATCCGCCCGCCTCAGCCTCCCAAAGTGCTGGGATTACAAGTGTGAGCCACCGTGCCCAGCCAATAATTAATATTTTTATTATCAATAAGAAAACTGCAATACTCCACTGAGTGAGTATTATATAAGCAAGTGCCTGCAATATAATGGAATTCATCATCATATACACAATTACGAGTTTATATGAGTTTAGAACACAGGCTCAGAAATAAAATGTGCTTGTAAGCCTCAAGTTTAATAGATGGTGCAAACAAATTCCCCAAATATTTTTCTAATGGCATCCTGCCCAATGAATGATGCAACTTATAATAATTAAGGAGGTATTTGAGGGAAATGATGTTCTATGAACAAACTTTTATTTTTTAAGTTTGACTTCACTTTTGACTTTTAACTTTGGAATAATGATGGGAAAAGTTAAAAGTTTCAAGTATTCAGAGTGTTATAAGTTTTCTGCTTTAGAACATTTTTTTGAAATGCTTTATCTGAAGCTGCAGTTAATGATGTCCTCAGCTCTGCAAATTAAGCCGATACTCTGACATCAATGAAAGGAGGCACTGAGAGAGATGGAAATGTGCGGATATTGAATCTCAAGGACTACAAACCTTTTTTTTGCCTCAATGTTTCATCTCCAGAGTTTCATATTTTGAAGAGTCGGCCCAAAATATGAAAGGATAGATGAAGGGGATATTGCCTGCGTGACTCAAGAGTGTGGTAACCAAGCTTCCTTGACTCTCATGACAGAAATTCCCTGAAGCTGGGAAGCCAGTCTCTCCTTTTTTTTGAAGTTAGTTTTGCCGAAAGCTATAGTTGAAAGTACACGGGGAAACTAATATGGATAATTAAATTATTAATTATGCATTCATAATTAAAGAAAAATTATCAAACAAAATAATCAAAGAATAGAGCAATATATTCAACATTTGTCTAAATTAATGCTGGCTTGTAAAGTTAAAACTCATTAGTATTCATTTTTACCATTCCTGAAAGAAGCTAAACAATCAGAGCTGTGCTAAGGGAAACTAAATTCTATTATATGTGTTCATTTAAATACTTCCCCACATTCCTCTTTTCTTTTCTTTTTTTTTTAATTCTGATCATTTTTTAAAAGAAAAAATGTCTTTCTCAGCTATTTGTCTGCCAATTCATTATCGGTGTTCCCAAATATGATTTTTTCTGGATTGTCCGATAAAAGTTAAGACACTCAGGGTTTTACAGGCCTTCCATGGAAAGGCTTTTACAAGTTACTATTGGACAAATGGAAAAAGCCATGACAAACTGATTAATTGTAAAATCCTGGTTAGATTGAAATTTGTTAAAGAGAGCCCAATTATTCTACTTTGGAAGAAAGAGAAAATTATAAAAATATCAGAGATTTAGCTGAAAAACAAATTTCTAAGTTATAGTTTTTATCTGTCAAGAAACCATACAGTTTCTACCTTCAATTTCTGCACATATTTCTCCATCTAGTGAGACTTTAAATTTATAATGCTATCATTTATGAAAGATAAAAATGGACAAATCGGTCGAGTGTGGTGGCTCATCCCTGTAATCCCAGCACTTTGGGATTAGGTCAGGAGTTCGAGACCACCCTGGCCAACATAGTGAAACCTGGTCGCTACTAAAAATGCAAAAATTAGGTGGGTGTGGTGGTCTGTGTCTGTAATCCCAGCTACTCAGGAGGCTGAGGCAGGAGAATTGCTAGAACCTGGGAGGCAGAGGTTGCAGTGAGCCGAGATTGTGCCACTGCACTCCAGCCTGGGCAACAAGAGCGAAACTCCCCCTCAAAAAAAAAAAAATTGTGAAAGATCATATAATAAACTATTTTTTTTCCTTTGCCGTACTTACTAATGGTAACTGGAGAAAAATGTTTTTCCATTTTACTTGGCTTACATTGAAATCCCGCTTGATAACTTGATAAAACCTCACCAACTCCAAACTGATCATTTGCTGAATAGATTTTAATAGGTCATTATTATGTGTTTCATTAATTTCCACTCTCATTACATCTGATGCTAATTTTTTGAAGGTTTCCGCCATGCTTTATGCTTTTATTACACATTATAGAGCACTAGAAATGTGAAAAGCACATTTACCAAGCACCGTGAGAACCCCAAATGGGAAGCCTAAATACATACTGCAGTTGAAATGTTTGAAAAATTCAAATGAAGGTGCATGATTAGGTTGGGGTTATATTATTTTTGGCTACTAATTATTAAAAAAAAAAATGGCTGGGCGTGGTGGTTCTTGCCTGTAATCCCAGCACTATGGGAGGCCGAGGTGGGTGGATCACGAGGTCAGAAGTTCAAGACCAGCCTGACCAACATGGTGAAACCCCGTCTCTGCTAAAAATACAAAAATTAGCCGGGCATGGTGGTGTGTGCCTGTAATCCCAGCTGCTCGGGAGGCTGAGGCAGGAGAATCACTTGAACCCAGGAGGCGGAGGTTGCAGTGAGCCGAGATCTCACCATTGCACTCCAGCCTGGGCGACAGTGAGACTCTGTCTCAAAAAAGAGAAAAGACTTATTGGGAGGTAATGTTTGAGCACATAATTTAAAGCTAAGCTAGAAAAATCAAATAAAATGGAAAATCAAGTAACCTGAAGACAAACTAAGAACAAGAGAGGGGCATACAAAGAAAAGAAAGTAATCTGAGTAAAGGTAGAGTCACAGAGACGTAGGAGGTGTGAGGGACATAGGTTCATGGGAAAAGTAAGAAACAAAATTGGAAGAGTAGATTTGTTATCAATTTTGGAGAGAAATGAATGCTACTCTGTGAAGTTTAGATTTTCCCTACAGTCACAGAGTAGATCTTGAAGAGTTTTAAACAGAGAAGTGACAGGACCAAATATATGTTAGAAAAAGATAAAACTGGGTACACTGTCTTGGAAGGTTAATGGATAGAAAAAGAAAACTGGCAATATTGCCTTCAGAGAAGGTGATTCTGAAATTTGAAATTGTATCTGACAAGCAAAGATCTTGTATGCCTACTTGTATGTCTTCTTTTGAAAAGTGTCTGTTCATGTTCTTTGCCCAATTGTTAATTTTTTTTTTTGCATGTTTATTTGTTGAAGTTGCTTATAGATTCCGGATATTAGTCCTTTGTTGGATATATAGTTTGTAAATATATTAACCCATTCTGTAGGTTGTCTTTTTACTCTGCTGATAGTTTCTTTTGCTGTATAGAAGTGCTTTCGTTGAATTAGGTGCCACTTGTCTATTTTTATTTTTGTTGCAATTGCTTTTGAGGACTTAGTCATAAATTCTGTCTAGGCTGATATCCAGAAGGGTATTTTCTAGGTTTTATTTTAGCTTGAGGTCTTACATTTAAGCTTGAATCAATCTTGATGTAACATTTTCTTTTTTTTTTTTTTTGAAATAAGGTATCACTCTGTCACCCCTGCTGGAGTGCAGTGGCATGATCATGCTCACTGCAACCTCAGCCTCCTGGGCTCAAGTGATCCTCCCACCTCAGTCTCCAAAGTAGCTGGGGATTATAGGTATACACCACCACACTTGGCTGATTTTTGTATTATTTGTAGAGATGGAATTTCATGATGTTACTCAGGCTGGTTTGAAACTACTGGTCTCAAGTGTTCCTCCTGGCTTGGCCTCCCAAAGTGCTGGGACTATAGGTGTGAACCACCATGACCAGACAAGTTAATTTTTGTACATGGTGAAAGGTCTGAGTGTAGTTTCATTCTTCTGCCTATGGGTAGCCAGTTTTCCTAGCACCATTTTTTAAAAATAGGAAAACCATTTCCCATTGCTTATTTTTCTCAACCTTGTGAAAGATCTGTGGCTTATAGATATGTGTGTGTGTGTGTGTGTGTGTGTGTGTGTGTGTGTGTGTGTGTGTTTTCTGGGTTCTCTATTGATATGGTTAGGATTTGTGTCCCCACCCAAATCTCATCTTGAATTGTAACCTCCATCATCCCCACGTTTCAAGGGCGAGACCAGGTGGAGGTAATGGAATCATGGGGATGTTTTTTTCCCATGCTGTTCTCATGATAGTGAATAAGTTCTTACTAAGTTCCCATGAGATACGATGGTTTTATGAGGGGCTCTTTACCCTTTGCTTTGCAATTCTGTCTGCTGCCTTGTGAAGAAGGTGGCTTATGCCATGATCGTAAGTTTCCTGAGGCCTCTGTAGCCACGCAGAACTGTGAGTCCATTAAACCAGTTTCCTTTATAAATTACCCAGCCCTTGGGAAGTTCTCTTTCACAGTATGAAATTAGACTAATACAGCAAATTGGTGCCACAGAGAGTGGGGTGCTGCTATAAAGATAAAATGTGGAAGTGACTTTGGAACTGGGTAACAGAAAGAAGTTTTAAAAGTTTGGAGGTCTCAGAAGAAGACAGGACAATGTGGGAAAGTTTGGAACTTTGTAGAGATTTGCTTAATGACTTTGACCAAAACGCTGATAGTGATATGAACATTGAAGTCCAAACTGAGATGGTCTCAGATGGAGATGAGAAACTTGTTAGGAGCTAGAATAATGGTGACTCTTGCTACGTTTTAGCAAAGAGACTGGGGGCATTGTGCCCCTGCCCTAGAAATCTGTGAAACTTTGAACTTGAAAGTGATGATTTAGGGTATCTTACCGAAGAATTTTCTAAGCAGCAAAGCTTTCAAGAGGTGCCTTGGGTGCTCTTAAAAGCATTCAGTTTCATTCATTCACAAAGAGATTATCTGGAATTTAAATTTATATTTAAAAGGGAAGCAGAGCATAAAATTTTGGAAAATTTGCAACCTGAACAATACAACAGAAAAAGAAAAATCCATTTTCTGAGGAGAAATTCAAGCTGTCTGAAGAAATTGGCATAAGTAACAAGGAAGCAAATGTAACAAGGAACCAAAATGTAAATTTGCATAAGTAACAAGGAACCAAATGTAAGAAGGAACCAAAATGTAAATTTGCATAAGTAACGAGGAACCAAAAGTAACAAGGAACCAAGACAATGGGGAAAATGTCTCCAGGCATCTCAAAGATCTTCATGGCAGCCCCTCTCATTACAGGCCCAGAAGCTGAGGAGGAAAAAAATGGTTTCATGGGTTGGGCCCAGGGCCTTGGTGCTTTGTGCAGTCTGGTATGCAGTGACTTGGTGCCCTGCATACCAGCTTTGGCTAAAAGGGCTCAACATACAGCTCAGGCCATTGTTTCAGCGGGTGCAAGCCCCAAACCTTGGTAACTTAAAAGTGATGATGGGCCTGTGGGTGCACAGAATTCAAGAACTGAGGATTCAGAACTCCCACCTAGATTTCAGAGAATGTACGGAAATACCAGGATGTCCAGGCAGAAGTTTTCTACATGGTGGGAGCCCTCCTGAAGAACCTCTGCTAGGGTATGACAGAAGGGAAACGTGGGGTTGGATCCCACACACAGAGTCCCCACTGGGGCACCACCTAGAGTAGCTGTGAGAAGAGGACCGTCATCCTTCAGACCCCAGGATGGCAGATCCACCAACACCTTGCACCATGCTCCTGGAAAAGCAACAGACACTCAATGCCAGCCCATGAAAGCAGCCAGAAGAAGGGATATACTCTGCAAAGCAACATGGTGGAATTCCCTAAGGCTGTGAGAGCCCACCTCTTGCATCAGCATGACCTGGATATGAGACATAAAGGAGATCATTTCAAAACTAAGATTTGACTGTCCTGTTGGATTGTAGACTTGTGCGGGGCCTGTAGCCCCCTTTTTTAGACCAATTTCTCCCATTTGGAACTGATGTATTTACCAAATGCCTGTACTTTCATGGCATCTAGGAAGTAACTAACCTGCTTCTGATTTTATAGCCTCATTGACAGAAGGGACTTGCCTTGTCCCAAATGAGACTTTGTACTTGGACTTTTGTGTTAATGCTGGAATGAATTAAGACTTTCTTGACCTGCAACAAAAGGTGCATGCACAGCCTTGCCAGATGTCACTGTTAAGGTGAGGGCATTGATTGGAAAAGAATGGGACCCTGCAATGTGGAATGGGGATTTGTGAGAGGACTCCAACAAAGCTGAGGACACTGCATTTGTAAACTCTGATGAACCTTATTTTGCCAGAAGAAACAGCTTCCCTATCAACATCCCCTCCCCGACCCATGCTGTCATCAGCCTTTCCACCTTTGTCTGAGGAGATAAACCCTCTGCTGCCTGAGGCAACAGAGATGGCCTCCCCCAAGGCAGTTGCCAGGAAAAATAATGTTGATTCTCCTTAGGGGCCACCCCCAACACCCCTTTTTGCTTCTAGACCTGTAACTAAAGTCCTGGTGGGTCCCTAGAGGTGAGGTTGACAGTGACCCATGAGGAGGTGCACTACACTTGAAAATAACTGGTTGAGTTTTCTTATTTATATAAGCAGACATCTCGAGAACAGGCATGGGAATGGATATTAAGGGTATGAGATAATGGTGAAAGAAACATAGAGTTGGATTAGGTTGAATTTATTGATTTGGACCCACTAAGTAATGACTCTGCATTTAATGTTGCAGCTCAGGGAGTTAAAAAGGATTCTAATAGTTTATTTGCTTGGTTAGCAGAAATATGGATTAAAAGATGGCCCACTGTGAGTGAGCTGGAAATGCCTGATCTTCCTTGGTTTTATGTAGAGGAAGGAATCCAAAGGCTTAGGGAGATTGGGATGGTGGAGTGGATTAGTCACTTTAGACCTACTCATCCCAGCTGGGAGGATCTAGGAGATATACCTTTGACAAGTGCCTTGTGAAATATATTTGTGAGGGCAGCACCTCCATCTTTTAAGGGCCCTGTAATTGTTCTTCTCTGTATGTCAGATCTAATAGTGGGAACTGCAGTCACTCAACTATAAAATTTAAATACAATGGAAATAATTGGGTCCTGAGGTGGCAGGGACCAAGTGGCAACACTCAACCATCAAAGGTAAGGTGGGCATACCTACAGTAATTGACAGCAGAAGTAAAGCAGCAATCAAAATAGTCTGACTTGTGTAGAGCTCTGGCATTGGCTAATAAATCACTGTGTTCCTAGAATTGAAATTGACAGGAAGCCTACTGCATTCCTACTCAATTTATATAAGCAGAAAACTTCTAGGCCGAAAGGACAAAATACTTATTTGAAATATAAAACCAGAGAATCATGGCCTTAATCAATTTCCAGACTTGAGCCAGTTTACAGACCCAGAACCCCTTGAATGAAGGGGAGGCTGGATCCCCCTGAGGAAGGACCCCAGTACACTACCGGCAATGTATGCTGTTAATCTTCCTCCCACCCTTCCCCAAGAAGACCTCTGGCCTTTTACCAGGGTAACTGTGTATTGGAAAAAGGGAAATGATCAGACATTTCAGGGACTACTGGACACTGGCTCTGAGCTGACATTTATTACAGGGGACCCAAAACATCACTGTGGTCCTCCTGTTAAAGTAGGAGCTTATAGAGGTCAGGTAAGTAATGGAGTTCTCAGGTCTTACTTACAGTAAGTCCTTGAACTCATCCTGTGGTCATTTCCCCAGTGCCAGAATGTATAATTGGCATAGACATATTAGCAGATGGCAGAACTTCCACATTGGCTTCCTGACTGGTAGGTGAGGACTATTATGGTGGGAAAGGTCAAATGTAAGACATTACTGCCTCTACCTAGAAAAACAGTAAATAAAAAACAATGTTGCATCCCTGGAGAGACTGCAGAGATAAGTGCCACCATCAACGACTTGAAAGACACGGGGTGGTTGTTCCCACCACATCCCCATTCAACTTTCCCATTTGGCCTGTGCAGAAGATAGATGGATCTTAGAAAGTGAAAGTGGATTATTTTAAGTTTAACCAAGTGGTGACTCCAATTGCAGCTGCTATACCAAATGTGGTTTCATTTCTTGAGCAAATAATCAATACCAGCTACAACCACACGACCAGCTGCAGAAATGAGGACTGTAATTTTCATGAGTATTTCCTTTCTTTTGTTAAAAACATGTTTGTGCATGTGTACACTTGTACTACAAAAATATCTTCATTTTATTTCCTTTCTCCTTTATTATGTGACATAAGATTTATTGACTTCATATCAACATTTAAGTATTGTTAACTTTGCTTAATAGTATTTGAGTTGGGGATTGGTATGTTTCTAGTTGTACAAAGGACAGTTGTATTATGTTAGGTGTAATTATGGCCTTATTATTTTCTTTATTTGAAGATCATATATGATCTCAGGAGATGTGTATGGGTTCAAGTTGACAAGGAGTGGACTTGTGATGATTAATACTGCGTGTCAACTTGATTGGAATGAAGGATGCAAAGTATTGATCCTGGGTATGTCTGTAACGGTGTTGCCAAAGGTGATTAACATTCGAGTCAGTGGACTAAGAAAGGCAGACCCACCCTTAATCTGGATGGGCACCACCTAATCAGCTGCCAGTGTGGCTAGAATACAAAGTAGGTGAGAAACGTGACTAGACTAGACTGGCCTAGCCTCCCAGCCTATATCTTCCTCCTGTGCTAGATGCTTGCTGCCCTTGAACATCGACCTCCAAGTTCTTCAGTTTTGGGACTGAGACTGGCTTTCCTTGCTTCTCAGCGTGCAGACTACCTATTGTGGGACTCTGTGATTGTGTAAATTAATACTTAATAAACTCCCCTATATAATATGCCTTATTAGTTCTGTCCCTGTAGAAAACCCTGACTAGGCTGGGCATGGTGGCTCACCTGTAATCCCAACACTTTGGTAGGCCAAGGCATGTGAATCACCTGAGATCAGGAGTTCAGGACCAGCTAGACCAATATGGTGAAACCCCATCTCTACTAAAAATACAAAAATTAACCGGGTGGTATGTACCTGTAGTCCCAGCTACTTGGGAGGCTGAGACAGGAGAATTGCTTGAACCTGGGAATTGGAGGTTGCAGTGAGCCAAGATCGTGCCACTGCACTCCAGCCTGAGTGACAGAGTGAGACTCTGTCTCAAAATAATAATAATAAAAAAAATTTTAAAAAGGAGAACCCTAATACACTAGGTCCTTGGTCTATATATGTGTTTTGTGGGAATTATTGTTCTTTCATTTCTATGTTTAGAACATCATTAAACAGCTCTTGTAAGGTCAGTCCATTGCTAACAAATCCTCTTAGCTAGGGCTTGTCTGGGAAAGATTTTATTTCACCATCACTTATTTAGGAAACTTAGTTTGGCAGACATGAAATTATTTTTAGAAGTTCTTTTCCTTAAGAATGATAAAAATAGCCTTCCAATCTCTTCTACCTTGTAAGGTTTCTGTTGAGATGTCTGCTGTTAGCCTGATCAGTTTCTCATCATAGATGGTATGTCCTTTTCTCTAGCTGCTTTTAAGATTTTTTTCTCACACTGACCTTGGAAAGACTGATTACTATGTGCACTGAGGATTGTTATCTTGTATAATATGTTACAGGGTTTATCAGAATTTTTTATATTTGCATGTTGACTTCTCTAGGAAGACAGAGGGAAATTTTCATGGATTATCTTCTGTAATATGTTTTCCAAGATGCTTACTTTCTCTTCTCCTATCTTAGGAATGCCAGTTCATCATAGGTTTTGTTGCTTTACATAATTGCAGGTAGCTTGGAAGTTTTGTTCATCATTTTAATTTCTTCATTTTTCTCTGAGTTGATTTGAAGGAACAGTCTTCACACTCTGAAATTCTTCCCTATGTTTGGTCTAGTCTGTTGTTAAGGCTTGCAAATGTACTTTGAAATTCTTGTAGTGAATTTTCGATTTCAGAAGTTCAATTTGGTTGTTCTTAATATAGCTGTGCCATTTTTCAAATCTTGTATTATTTCTCTGGCTTCCTCAGATTGAATTTCAACATATAACTTAGATCTCATTGAGCTCCTTCACTATCCAGATTCAGAATTCTGTGTCTATCATTTCAGACCTTTCAATCTGGTTAGGGTCTACAGCTAGGGAGCTATTGCAATCACTTGGAAGTAACAAAACACTCACTTTTTGAATTGTCAGAGTTCTTTTACTTATTCCTCCTCATCTGAGGGAGCTGGCATGCCTTTTTGTTTTTGAACATGCTGTCACTGGAGAGGGATTTTTGTTTTTACATTCTTTTTTCCCTTGACGAATTGACTGTGATACATGTTGTATATAGTCAATTGGCTTTATTTCTGGGTGCTTTTAGCGGGCCAAAGATCTGTGTGAATTCCTTGGTTGTAGATAGGTTCCTGTGGTGGGTTTCCCAGGTGGTGTGTGTTGAAGCAATGCATTTTTATTTGGTGGTATAATTTAGGGTACAGTCCAGTAGGTTGAACTTAAGAGTATGAGCCAGCATACAGGCTCTTAGCCCCTTAGGTCAGGTTTGGGACCAAGGCCAGTCCTTGTGCCAAAGGACCCCAAAAAGGCTTTCCAGCTTTCTCACTCTTCAACAATGGTGTCTGTTGCCTCTCTATCAACTTCCAGTGCTTTCTCTCAAAACATCTATTTCAAGTGTGATGGTTTACAGATATTTTGGATGGTCTTAGCGGAAGAGTCTCTGAGCTGTGTCTAGTGGGCCATCTTGCCTCAAAATTACTATCCCTCTCTACTGTAGTTATTAACCACTTTTGTTGCTTGCTATAAGGCAACATGCCTTTGAAGAAAAAGTTGCATCTTAAACTAATATTGAAGATAAGTTTATCTTTTCACTTGTCTCTGAATTAGTCAGAAAATTAGTATCAAATAAAAGTGAGCTTAATCATAAATTCTTATAAAAAATCAATTTTATCACCAGACTGAGCAAGATAAAAAAGAATACAGCAGCAGAGGAGAGAAATTTCATGTGAAAAGAAGTTAATTAACTAAAAATCTCTAATTATAAGCATTTTAGCTTACAAAAAGTTCAAAGACAGAAAAGTACTATGTTATAAAGCAATGGGGAAATCTACCCCAATATAATACATTAAAGAAAGAAGACATTCAGGAATGAGAGGTCATGAACATGAATAGAGTTTGTCCACACATTCTTACAGCAGTGGTTAGGTTTAAATGGGGAAAAAAAATTTTTTTTAAATATATAAGCTGGGCATGGTGGCTCATACCTGTAATCCCAGCACCTTGGGAGGCCAAGGTGGGCGGATCACCTGAGGTCAGGAGTTCAAGACCAGCGTGGCCAATGTGGTAAAACCCTGTCTCTATTAAAAATACAAAATTAGCGTGCTGTGGTGGTAGAAGCCTATAATCCCAGCTACTTGAGAGCCTTAGGCTGGAGAATCGCTTGAACTCGGGAGGCGGAGGTTGCAATGAGTTGAGATTGCAACATTGCACTCCAGCCTGGGTGGCAAGAGCGAAACTCCGTCTCAAAACAAACAAACAAAAAATATATATAGAGAGAGAGAGTTAGTTTTAGTTCTGCTACTAACTTGTTACATAACCAAGAAAACGTCACCTAATACATCCCAATTTAAAATTGGAATATCTAGATTCAATGAACTTTTAAATTTTTGTTTTTTAATTTTCATTTTGAAAATGATTTATGGTTATATCATGGCAACAGGGGGTCCATCATTGATTTCTACTCGCCTATTAAAAGGACCAGTTGACATTTTTTTTTTTCTTTTAGCTAACTTTTGTAAGCTTGAAAAGAGGAAATAATTACGGTACTTTAATAATTTTTTTTCCAAATAAAATAGGGGAAGTATTAGAAAATTACCAAAGTATCTACCTCAGAAAGTTAAAAACATTTTAAAAATTTAAGGTGCCTTAGACTCATACATGTGGAAACATATCTACAGCCTGATATGTTGCCTTATTATTTTCTAGAAAAATCATAGAGATTGAACTCTAATTAATACTTGTCTTATATAGATAATCTTAAAGTGACATTAGCTCTTATCTGTGCCTTTATCTTTTGTCTTTTGGCCATAATTTCTCTATCTTTAAAATAAAATTTGAATGAATGTTGCTCAAACATTCCTTCCAGTTGTATGATCCCATGGAACTATAAAATACTTTTAAAAGCATTACTATTTCCCTTTTCAGTATGCGATCTCTATAAGTTGCTCTTACAAACTATCAGTAGTCACGATTTCAAAATGACACCCTTGGATACAGAAATAAAGGAATGAGACAACATGTCATATTTAGAAATCATTTTAGAGAACATTTACTACTTAAGATTGTCTAGATTATTCTGTGGAAACAATCCTGATATCTCAGTGGCTTATGATAGATTTCTTTCTCATTCACACATGTCTAATGTGGTTTGGAAGGTGAAATTTGCTATATCACTGGAGACCTAGGCCAATAGAGGGACCACCACGTGAGACTGCATCATGTGGAATGCACTACCTCCTTGGTCCCTGTGGCAAAGTATGAGCACTCCCGGTTTTTCCACCCTGCTTTGTGGGGACTTGGTTTTGTTGCTCCTTGGTTTTCTATGTTTCTGCCTGGAGATGAACCCTGTCACCTCAACTGAGAATTAGTCACATGGAATGTCTAACAACCAGGGCCTGGGAAGATAAAAAGAGCCATGAAAACTGGGCATTAGCCATGCCTCCCACTGAACCCTGAAGTCTTAGAAAAAATAAGCTATTTCATAACATATTAACTCCAATACCTCCTTTAAAGCAGCAAGCTGACCCCAGAGAGATGAATTGAGTTAATCAGCCATATAGTCAGGTGGAGGCAAAGATGGAATAGACAAAACTAAATGGTCCTAACCTTTCCCTTCATTTCAAAATCTAAAGCTTTTCATCTTAATGGCTGTGATAATATTTTATAAGACCAAAAGAGAGAAGGACAATGGTAGACACTGTGTATCTATCCAGTTCCATGCCTTTGAAGGTGAAACTTTCACCCTAGAAACTTCTCAGGTGCATTTTAGATCTAGTCTTATTTGGGTATGACATTTACTTTCAAGGTCATTGACTGAATTTGAGGCAAGCAAAATCCAGTTAAGGTGAAGAAGGATGTAATTTCATTACCCCCTTTTATATATTAAATGTATAGCAGAGTTATCTTTTTAACACAGGCCTATTACTCATTTTCAATGGTAAACGACTAAGTTCACTACAGATACTTAAGTGCTAGCCAGGCGACAGTCCCAGCAGTTTCTCTTGAATATCATCATATTAAAAGAACTATTGCTCTTCCTGACCCTGCCATAATATCACTGTGCTCTCTAAAGGTTATTGATAAATGCTTTTGGCCACAGAGGACGCTCTCCTGCTTCATCTCCCTTGTGATCCTTTTTATATTATTTTCTGAACAGAGATGATAAAGAAAAAAAAATTACCACTCTTGAGATTCTTTTGCCTTTTACACATTTCTTCTACTGTCCAAATCTCTAGTTTTTTGAATTCTTTATGTATGACCACTGTTTGATCTGTCCAAGAATTTTAGGCACTAATGCTCAAAATGTTTGATCTCTTAAACTATGTCTAGCTCTATCAATTTTGCCATCTGTCTGTTCATAGTCTCAGTAAATCGTATTATTAATTATTAAGAACTAGAGCTCTGCATTTTATTCTCGCAATGCTTAACTGCCTTGCCTAAACCCTTCCCCATAGACCTGGTGCCTTAGGGTTCTAATTATTGATTTATGCTGTCCTCTGTTTAGCCAAAATATTTCACCATATACCTCCTCAAAGCAAGGGGCTAATGAACAGTTCATAGTCCAGAAGCCTTTTCCTATCTCATCTTCCCATCCAACTTTTTCTGTTACTGTCTTATCTAATGAACTAACATGCATTAAAATCAATGCACAAATGGTTGAAGTTAGAATAATGCATTGTTGATCAAGCAGCTTTTGCACTTTAGTATAAACTTCGTTGTTAATAAAGAAAGGTGAATATTACAAATTTCTGGACACTTCAACCTGTTAGTGAGGGGAAAACTTTTTTCCTGAATTAACTTTTAGTTTGTATTTCAATGATTTTCTATTGTGGTTTTCTTCACTGTATAAATCCTATCCCTCTTGGTTACTCTGTGAAGGGAGATCATGATGGTACCTCCCATTGCACTGGTGTCAGCTGTGTCATTTTTGCATTCTGACGAAGCAGCTCCATGAAGACCTGGCACATAGGTTAATGGTGGGCTGTTTCTTGAACAGGATGAAGGATATTTTCTATTTCATCTATGGAAGAGGGCTATCTTAAAAAGGAAACATGTAAAATGAAGACTTTAACAGAAAATATTCATCTCCATTTGTAAACTATGTCCTTGGGTCTGATTTTCTGAGGAGTTGAAACCCTTTTACAGATGATTAAGAAATGAATTTAAGGGGAGGGACCAAGATGGCCAATTAGAAGCAGCTCCAGTCAGTGGCTACCACCAAGAATGAAAACTGCAAGTGAATCCTGCATCTTCAGCTGAGGTATCCAGGTTCCCTCCTCGGGACTGACTAGGTGGTTGGCATGACCCACAGAGAGCAAGGAAAATCAGGGTGGAATAATGGCCCACCCAGGAGCCACATGGAATAAGAAGAACTACTGCCGCAGCCAGTGGAGGCAGTGAGTGAATGTGCTAACCCACCAGGGAGATCCACGCTTTTGCCATGGATCTGTGCAACCCGTGGATCAGGAGATCCCCTCGTGAACTCACACAACCAGGGCACTGGGTCCCAAGAGCAAAACTGTGCAGACTCTCAGTGGCCGCTCGGGTTATAATTAGCAACAGCTGGATGGAGACTGCCTAAGATGACTGAGTTCCCTGGGGGAGGGGTGGCCGCCATCACTGTGGCTCCAGTCGGCCGTTTTCCCCTGCCAGTGCCAGGGAGACTGGGCAATTTGTACTGGGAGGAATTCCCCACAGCGCAGCGCAGTGGCTGTGGCACATCATGGTCAGAATGCTTCTTTAGATGGGCCTGGATCCATCCTTCCTAATGGGACAGAATCTCCTTGCAGGAATTTAAGCAACTCCAGCCAGGGATTTAGGGACAGAACTCTGATCTCCCCGGGAAGGAGCCACTGGGGAGGGAAGGAGCCACTGGGGAGGGAAGGAGCCACTGGGGAGAAGAGCAGCCACATCCCGAGCTCAGGGGACTTAGTCTTTCCCAAGTCCAAGCAGTCCAGACAAGTGGGACTGCCCCTAGCACAGTGCACCCACTCCGCCAAGAAGCCAGACTGCTTCTTCAAGTGGGTTCCTGATCCTGTGCTGCCTGACTGGGTGAGACCTCCCAACAGAGGTCACCAGACACCTCATAAAGGAGAGTTCTGGTGGCATCAGATCACTGCCCCTCTAGGAGGGAGCTCCCAGAGGAAGGAGCAGGCAGACATCTTTGCTCTTCTGCAGCCTCCAATGGTGACAACTCCAGTTGCGGGGTGGGGGACACAGGTGAAAATGGTCTTGAGTGAACCCCCCATCCACCACAGGCACCCTATAGAAGAGGGGCCTGACTATTGCAAAAAGAAACAAACAGCAACAACAACAAGAAGACTAACAACAACAAAAACAAAAATACCAAAAGAACCCATCTGAAGTTCAGCAGCCTCAAAGATTGAAGGAAGATACATAAACCCACAAACATGAGAAAAAATCAACACAAAAATAGTGAAAATTCAAAAGCCCAGAGCGCCTTTTCTCCTCCAAATGATTGTAACACCTCTCCAGGAAGGGCGCAGAACTGGGCTGAGACGGAGATGGATGAATTACCGAAGTAAGCTTCAGAAGTGGGTAATAATGAACTTTGCTGAGTTAAAGGAGCATGTTTTAACCCAATGCAAAGCAACTAAGAACCATGATAAAACATTACAGGAGCTGTTAACCAGAATAACCACTTTAGAGAGGAACATAAATGACCCAGTGGAGCTGAAAAACACAACAGAAGAACTTCACAATGCAACCACAGGTATGAATAGCTGAATAGACCTAGTAGAGGAGAGAGTCTCAGAGCTTGAAGACTATCTTGCTGGAATAAAACAGGAAGACAAGATTAGATAAAACAGAATGAAAAGTGACAAACAAAACCTCTGAGAACTATGGGATTATGTAAACACACGAAGTCTATGACTGATTGGGGTACCTGAAAGAGACAGGGAGAACAAAACCAAGTTGGAAAATACATTTCAGGATATTCGGGAGAACTTCCCCAACCTAGCAAGACAGGCCAACATTCAAATCCAGAAAATTCAGATTAAGGCCAGTTCACCTACAAAGGAAGCCCATCAGACTAACAGCAGACCTCTCAGCAGAAACCCTACAAGCCAGAAGAGCTTAGGGGACAATATTCAATATTCTTAAAGAATTTCCAACTCAGAATTTCATATCTGACCAAACTAAGCTTCATAAGCAAAGGAGAAATAAAATCCTTTCCAGATAAGAAAATGCTCAGGGAATTTGACACCACCAGGCCTGCCTTGAAAGAGCTCCTGATGGAATCACTAAATATGGAAAGGAAAAACCAGCCACTTCAAAATACACTGAAGTACACAGACCAGTGACACTATGAAGCAACTACATTAACAAATCTCCAGAATAACCAGCCAGCATCATCATTACAGGATCAAATTCATACATAACAATATTAACCTTAAATATGGTTATTAAATAAATGGGCTAAATGCCACAATAAAAAGACACAGAATGGCAAGTTGGATAAAGAGTCAAGACCCACTGGTGTGCTATATTCAAGAGACCCATCTCACGTGCTAAGATAGACATAGGCTCAAAATAAAACGATGAAGGAAAATTTACCAAGTAAATGGAAAGCAGAAAAAAGCAGGGGTTGCAATTCTGGTTTCTGACAAAAGAGACTTTAAACCAACAAAGATCAAAAAAGACAAGGACACTGCATAATGATAAAGGGTTCAATTCAAAAAGAAGAACTAACTATCCTAAAAATATACACACCCAATATAGGAGCACCAAGATTCATAAAACACATTTTTAGAGACCTACCAAGAGACTTACTCTCCCACACAATAATATTGGGAGACTTTAACACCTCACTGTCAATATTAGATTACTGAGAAAGAAAATTAACAAGGATATTCGGGAATTGAACTCAGCTCTGAATAAAGTGGACCTGATAGATATCGACAGAACTCTCCCCAAAACAACAGAATATATATTCTCACAAAAACAACTCCACCCAAAAACAACAGAATATACATTCTTCTCGGCACCACATGGCACTTACACTAAAATTGATCACATAATTGGAAGAAAAACACTCCTCAGCAAATGCAAAAGAACTAAAATCATAACAAACAGTCTCTCAGACCACAATTAAACTAGAACTCAATATTAAGAAACTCACTCAATATCACACAAGTACATGGAAATTGAACAACCATATCCCGAATGACCCCTAGGTAAATAATGACATTAGGGCAGCAATCAAGAAGTTTTTTGAAAATAAGGAGAACAAAGAGACAATGTACCAGAATCTCTGGGATGCAACTAAAGCAGTGTTAAGAGGGAAATTTATAATACTAAGTGCCCACATCAAAAAGCTAGAAAGATCTCAAATTGACATCCTAACATTGCAACTAAAAGAACTAGAGGACCAAGAGCAAACAAACCTCAAAGCTAGCAGAAGACAAGAAATAACCAAGTTCAGAGCAGAACTGAAAGAGATAGAGACAGAGAAAACACTTAAAAAAAATCATTGAATCCAGGAGCTGGTTTTTTGAAAAAATTAACAAAATAGACTGCTCTGTAGATTAATAAAGAAGAGAGAAGAATCAAATGGACAAAGTAACAAATGATAAACAGGATATCACCACTGGCCACACAGAAATACAAACAACCATAAGACAATACTATAAACACCTCTACACAACTGAAAAAAAAAACAACTAGAAGAAATGGATAAATTCCTGAAACATACACCCTGAGAATTCTGAACCAGGAAGAAGGTGAATCCCTGAAGAAACCAATAATGAGTTCTGAAATTGAAGCAGTAATAAATAGCCTACCAACCAAACAAAGCAGGGACCAGACAGATTTACAGCTGAATTCTAACAAAAAAGAGGAGCTCATTCCATTTCTTCTAAAACTATTCCCAACAATTGAAAAGAAGGAACTCCTCTCTAGCTCATTTTATAAAGCCAGCATCATTCTGATACCAAAACCTGGCAGAGATACAAGAAAAAAAGAAAACTGAGGTAAATATCCCTGCTGAACATTGATGCAAAAATCCTTTATTAAATACTGGCAAACCAAATCCAGCGGCACATCAAAAAGCTTATCCACCATCCCCTTCAAGTCAGGTTCATCCCTGAGATGTAAGGCTGATTCAATACACACAAATAAATAAATGTAATTCATCACATAAACAGAACATGATTATCTCAATAGACACAGAAAAGTCCTTCAATAAAATTCAACGTCCCTTCATGTTAAAAACTCTCAATAAACTAGGAATTAAAGGAACATGCCTCAAAATAATAAGAGCCATTTATGACAAACCCACAGCCAATATCGTACTAAATGGGATAAAGCTGGAAACACGCCCCTTGAAAACAAGAACAAGACAAGGATGCTCTCTCACACCACTCCTATTCAACAACAAGTATTGGAAGTTCTGACCAGGGCAATCAGGCAAGAGAAAGAAATAAAGCATATTCAAATAGGAAGAGAGTAAGTCAAATTGTCTTTGTTTGTAGATGACGTAATCCCGTATCTAGAAAACCCCATCTTCTCAGCCCAAAAGCTTCATGATAAGCAACTTCAGTAAAATCTCAAGATACAAAATCAATGCGCAAAAGTCACAAGCATTCCTATATACCAACAACCGACAAGCAGAGAGCCAAATCATGAATGAACTCCCAAGTCATAATTGCTATGAAGAGAATAAAATATGTAGGAATACAGCTAACAAGGGAAGTGAAGGACCTCTTCACAGAGAACTATAAACCATGGCTCGAGGAAATCAAAGAGGACACAAACAAGTAGAAAAACTTCCCATGCTCACTGATACAAATAATCAATATTGTGAAAATGACCATACTGCCCAAAGTAATTTATAGATTCAATGCTATTTCTATCAAATTACCATTGACATTCTTCACAAAATTAATTAGAAAAAACTATTTTAAAATTCATATGGAACCAAAAAAGAGCCCATATAGCCAAGACAATCCTAAGCACAAAGAACAAAGCTGCTGAAGGCCTTTCACTACCTAAATTCAAACTATACTATAAAGCTACATTAACCAAAACAGCATGGTACTGGTACAAAAAACAGACACATAGACCAACAGAACAGAATAGAGAACTCAGAAATACGACCACACTTCCACAGCCATCTGATCTTCAACAAACCTGACAAAAACAAGCAATGGGGAAAGGATTGGTGCTGGGAGAACTAGCTAGCCATATGCAGAAAATTGAAACTGGACCCCTTCCTTACAGCTTATACAAAAGTTAACTCAATATGGATTAAAGATTTAAATGTAAAATCCACAACTGTGAAATCCCTAGAAGAAAATCTAGGCAATACCATTTAGGACACAGGTATGAGCAAAGATTTCATGACAAAAACACCAAAAGCAATGACAGCAAAAGCAAAAATTGACAAACGGACTCTAATTAAACTAAAGAGCTTCTGCAGAGCAAAAGAATCTATCATCAGAGTAAACAGACAACCTACAAAATGGGAGAAAATATTTGCAAACTGTGCATCTGACAAAGGTCTAATACCCAACATCTAAAAGGAACTTAAACAAATTTACAAGAAAGAAAACAAAAAACCTAATTAAAAAGTGGGAAAGGACAAACACTTCTCAAAAGACAACATTTATGCAGCCAACAAACATATGAAAATAAGCTCAACATCACTGAGAACTGCAAATCAAACTACAACGGGATATTATCTCATCATGGTCAGAATGGCTATTATTAAAAAGTAACAACAGATGCAGGTAAGGCTGTGGAGAGACAGGAACATTTTACATGGTTGGTGGGAATGTAAATTAGTTCAACCATTGTGGAAGACAGTGTGACAATTCTTCAAAGACCTAGAACCAGAAATACAATTTGATCAGCAATGCATTACTGGGTATATACCCAAAGGAATATAAATCATTCGATTGCAAAGATACATGCATGCATATGTTTATTGCAGCACTATTCATAATAGCAAAGAAATGGAATCAACTCAAATGCCCATAAATGATAGGCTGGATAAAGAAAATATTGTACATATACACCATGGAATACTATGCAGCCATCAAAAAGAATGAGATCATGTCATTTGCAGGGACATGGATGGAGCTGGAAGCCATTACCCTCAGCAAACTAACACAGGAACAAAAAACCAAACACTGCATGTTCTCACTCATAAGTGAGAGCTGAACCATGAGAACACATGGACACAGGGAGGGGAGCAACACACACTGGGACCTGTGGGGGCTACAGGGGGAAGGAGAGCAACAATAAAAATAGCCAATGCATGCTAGGCTTAATACTTAGGTGATGGGTTAATGGGAGCAGTAAGCCACCATAGCCCACGTTTATCTATGTAACAAACCTGCATATCCTGCACATACACCCTGGAACTTAAAATATTTTCAAAAAGAAATGAATTTATGAAAGCTTCCACCAGGTGTCATAACCAACAGCTGGGTATGGGGAGGTATTTAAGGCCAGTCTAAGCTGAAGATGAGAGATCTGTATTTTCTAAGCCAAATGATCTAATTGTGTGTTATAGCTCAGTGTTCATTTCTCTTGTGCCTGCTCTGACTCTTTAGTAACACATTGTTTAAGTGATCCTTTCTAATTTATCTCAGCTATAGATTGCTTGGGAAAAATATTTAAGCAATCACTTAGAAGACACACCAAAGGAGCAAGAGTAACCCTTAAGGCCCATGTGGTAGTGGCAGCATTAATAATAATAGCTAAAATATTTCAGACATTCTTTTTAAGTTCTACCCTGTATTTTCTCAACAATGATGTTTGTTAGTATTATTAGTAAGTCTTAATAGATGAGAAACTCAGGCACAGAAAATAAAGTAACTTATTCAAAGTCAAATAAACAGTAATCAGTAGAGGCTAGAGCCTCAAAGGGAAGTAATTGTTTGGCAGTGCTAGACTCAACTTTCCTTTTCTATATGATGATTGTCTCTCCTGTGCTGGTCCTGGGTATCATGCTTTATTTTATTGAGGAAGGCAATGGGCTTTAACACATCAAAACACTGTAACTTACCAAGCTTGGTTTTGTGGCTCCTCTATTTCCCTCTAATGGCAATACAATAAGTTATTTACCTCATCTCGGTGATCAGATAGTTAGGATAAATTACAGAGCTATCACTATATTGTTGAAATCTGCTTAATGTTATTTCCAGGAATGCCTTACTTTTTCTAATTGTGTTTTCTCTCAAATATCTCAGGCTGTTGGAAAAATTCTACTTTTACTTATTCATGCAACTAGTTTTCACTCCTTTCTTGTAAAGGATGCCCTCTCTATAGTAATGAAAAGTGTTTGCTTGGCTCACCTAGGCAGCTACTTTGAAAGATCAGTCTTTCTTAAGAAAATGATTAAATGAATTAATAAATTCTAATGTTCTGTCGAATAGTCCAGTCAATGTTAATGGCGTTGTCGTTAGAAGGATGGATGACACATAAATGAATGAGCAGCAATTTATCAGACATTCGAAGAACTAATGCATATCTATCTAACATCTTCCTAGTCTGTTAGAAGTAAAAGGGTTTTCCACCCAGGCCTTCCTGAGACATGGCAGGGAACAGAGAGAGTGAAAGAGAGAAACAATTCAAATACAGACATTCGGGTACTATTCCAGAGGTGGTAATAAGGCACGAAACAAGAACAAGGGCAGCCTGTCTACCATTTAGGCTGATTTTAACAGAGAAGCTGAAAAATAAAAACAAAAGAAAGAAGAAATGAAAGCCTTGATTACTTTCTAGTGTTCCCATGTATATTTTTCAAAGAAATCTTCATCCTAAAACAGCAATCAGTATGGGATCAAGTGAATATAATACTACAGAGGAATCAATGTTAACCATCCTTAGATCAGTACCTTAAAAAGTCTGGGTGTTCTAAAAAATACAATGTGGATAATTACTGTCCTTTTAAGACTACCATTTGAATATGTATTATTTCCTCATTATGTTCCTGAGTTGCCATGATTCGTAGAAAAGGACATGACGGTTATCTGAGAGAGGAAAAGATTTAGTCCTTTGTTTTGATCCTTAAAAATTGAATTTTTAACTGAACAAATTGAGTGGTTTGAGGATGTCTTTTTGTGTTGCATATGTCATCGCAAATATTTTTATTGCAGAATAATCTTGGCTCAGGAACTGATCATGAAAAGAAGAACTGACTACATTCAAAAGAAAGATAGTGAATTTTCAGGAGGAATTGTTTCAAGTTTGGAAATCCCAAGGGAAGAGTTAAAGAACTTGGCAATTGTTTTACCTGGTTTAATATCCTGGTTTATTTTTGTTGTTTATTTTAAAAAAAAATCAGGGGCTCTCTTAAGTCTCTTAAATCTCTATGACTATATTGCATGTTTGGGACAGGTTGTTGAATTTGCATCAGTCACTGATGAGAAGTTCTAAAGTCAAAAGTCATAGGCAATGTTTGTGGTATGTATTTCTTACTCCAATCTCTGCTGAAATAAGTGACATTTTGGAGAAATGTTGTCTGGCAACAGAGTCTTTATTTTGATTAGCACTGGAAAGAGAGAGAATGATGACAGTCAAGATTGCTACTTTCCCCATGGCATCCCCTCCTCTTTATGTGTCCATTACAAGCCAATGAGATTTAAAAACATAAATATATGTCCATCCATTATGCTTTATTGTTTATAGTTTCTTCAACTTTTTTTTATTTTCATTATTTGGCCTTGCAAGTTAAAGTACATGCAACTATGAACTAGGCAGTGTTTATGAAGTTTTAAGACCACATTGCTGTAGAGAGTCATGTCAGATGTCTATTGAAACAAAATGAAATTTATGATTTTCAGGTATGGATAATAGAGATGAATGATCGGGAATAAAAATCTATCTATCTATCTATCTATCTATCTATCTATCTATCTATCTATCAAATCTCCATAGATCTTTGTGGGCAAGCATAAACAGCAGGAAAATAATCTGAAGACAAAAGATTATCTAAATTTTGATTTCAGCATATGGCTTCAGAAGCTACTCATCCACACTGGCCTTTAGTTTTCTGCCTCAGCAACTCTGTACTTCCTATTTTCTTTTTTTGAAAGCTTTTTCTCAATATACTTGAACTTATTCCTCCCTTCTCAGCTTTCAGGTGTCAACTTACATATCACCTCCCCAGAGGCTTTCCCTAAATAGCATCATATTCTAATTAGCTTTCCACCCCCTTTTACTCTCTATCACAGCAAACATCCTTTTGTTACCAGCACAGCAATGCTTGTCATCTGTCATTATTTTGTTTCCCTGCTTTTTAAAAAATATAATTGTCTCTATCTCCCTAAAGTTTAGGAGAATGGGCTCATGCTTGTTAACTTTCACATCTGAAACGTTGTACCTTAAAAAACGTCCCACAGATAATTGTTGAATGAAGAAGCACTGGGATTATACGCTAATATGAAATGAATCAAGTAATAAATATAATTCCATATATCAAAAAGCAAAACCTCTATAAGAAAAGTTTCCCACACAAATAAGATGCTGTTGTAGATATTTTCTATATATTCCAGAAACACGATCTGTGAGCCAATTTTCTTGATGTTTTCTCTGAAGGAAGATGGCCATGAAGGGTCACAGAATTCTGTCTGAGAATTCTTTTGTATCCACTGTTTGTGGATCAGAGACCAAGGAACCTGAACCTGCAGAGCTCCATTTTTATGAATCTTATTTCTAATATGAGGGCTGAAGAGAAAGAGAAGAAGGGCCTCTATATGTTTTCTATTTGTAATATTGCATCACAATATGTAGACTGATATTTTAAGCTTCGAATTGTTGTTTGTGCTATTTTTGAAACTCTCACACAGGCTAAAGGATAAATTAGCAATTAGAGAAACTAAGAGCTCTATATTTTTGTCTGTGATTCAAGCTAACCATCCCTTTACTCAGAGATCATGACTCAACTGTAGAATCATTGAGGGGTGAGTTTAAGGATGTCCCAGCATGACTTGGTTCCTAATTTCTAGGTTATTCTTACTAGACCAATTTCTTTCTTCTTCAGAGATGCAGGGAGTATGCAAATGGAATATGTGAATTGAATCTTAATAATGAATTTTTTTCCTTCATTTTTTCTTTTGGGTGACTTTAGTTTTCTGGCATCAGATATAGAATATGTTTTATTCAATAGTTTGCAGTTATAATAAAGTATAGTGTATGGAATCTGATCATTTTATACCTGTTACTGCCCTTCAAACAGTAGAAACAGTTTTGAATATCTTATTTTTATTGGGCAAATAAAAGTTCTGATGTTGGTTTTTTTCTTCTTGACCCACTGTAGAAGTTGTTCTATGATTTTTCTCAGGATAGGAAGATATCTGGGTAAATCCAGCAATATTCAATGCTGATCACAGACTTGGCAACAAGGGAAATGGAAAATAGAACAATCCTAAGGTCAAGTTACCATGGTTATGCCTTCTAAATATATGCTAGTACTCATTTTCCTACTGCCAAATTTACACAGTTTTTGTTTCAAGGACTTTCTAGTTCTAGTGGTTATATATTATTAGTTTTTCACTGTGTTACAGATAGAAACATGCTAGTGAGAAGGAAACAGGGTAGTCACATATTCATCATTCTTATTTTCCCTTTTTAGATATTCTTGTCAAACTTAACAACATCTGTCACTAAAGATGGAATTTCTTATCTTCCTAATTTTGGTCAATGTCTTTGAGAGAAGTAAGGTTTGATTGTAACATTCTTTCTAAGAAGTATTTATATGATACCTCTTCAGTCACTCTTAGCATTTGTCACATCTAAACTTGCCACATGCTCTTGTCTCTCTGAATTTTTATTCAAATAACTTGATGCTGCTAAGAGTCTTTATGTGACTCGTTCGAAATCTCTCATTTTGAAATAAAAGACGTTTGCACTGTACTAAAACCACATTGCTATATGTCCGATCTCTATTAAAATAAAATTTAAGATTTTAATGTATGGATAGATGCAAATTATGAGAAACAATCCAGATTTCTGTGAATACTATAAATCCACATTAATAATATAATTAATCCACTTTAAAAACAAATAATCCTAACCGTTTTGGATAAGAATAGTTGAAATTTGAAATTTAGAAATCTTTATATCTTCTTGTTCAGCCACAATATTTGAACTCATCTTTCAATATCAGCTCCTTTTCCAAGACATAAATTTGCCTCTTTTCTCTTCTGAGGTAATTCTTAATTGTTCATTAGCTTCCTCCATATAAAGTTTCCAAAAACTGAGAGAATGACATACAACTTACATATGTACAATGATTAAAAATCACTTAGATATTAGATCAATCCATACTGCATATTTTAGCATAATTGGTTATTGTCTTGTGATTCAACACATTATTTCCTCAACTCTATCATATTATTTTTAGGCTGAAAACTACCCCACATATTAATTGGACAACTACCAGGCTACTAGGCCTAGTACTTTGCCTTTTTGCTCTGTACAAAAGATTGATTTATTTTAACTTACTATTTTTAGTGAACTTTTCTACCTTTTTTTTTTTCTACTACAACTTGATCTAGAAATGCCCACTCTACTATTGCAAAAGTACACCTCAATTATATTTGGTCTTATTTTCATGTATGTTATATTATGCCCCGAGCCAACATCTACAATATAACTATTCTGCTGTCAACTTATATTTTTAAGAAAATATTAAATATATATATTGATAATCCAAAACTTCCATTTTTTCCCCTCTCAAAAACATTAACAAATAATACAAAAAAGGAGCTTAGCACTAAAGCAGAGTAAATAAAGGGGACGATGTGTAGTCTGAAAAATCTCAGCAGATGAATTTAATGCTTCCTTTTTGGTTGAGAACTATGGCTTCAAAACATTCTAGTACACAGGAATCCTGGTTAATTTGCATTTTTAAAATTTTTCTTCAACATTCAATTGATTGTCTTTAAATTTATCCTAAGCATAAATGTGAGCTAGTGAAGGAGGACAAAAATCCTAAATTTTTAAGTGAATGATTAGGTGGTTTTGCTTTTCTGTTTTAACTATGTGAAAAAACCATCAGTCTTAAAACAACTAAAAGGTGACAGTTTTGAAATATTGCAAAGAGAAAATCTTTACATCTACTGCCCCATTTTTACCTTTTATATATTCCCTCTAAGTGATTCTGAGATTATATATGAACACTCACTTGTCTGTTATTGTTAATAACAAAATTGGAGGAACTCAAAGGCTGTTTAAAGGAAGGAGAAAGGTAAGGAGGTGGCACGAAGAAAGAATCAGCAGTTATAAACAGAGGGAAATAGTTTACAAGTTTCACACACACAAAAAGTCATCCACTTCATATCACAGTCAGTTACGTTTCCCAATAACACTGGAGGTTTGCTAGTTCAGACATCTTAGCTTCTGATGACACGATTGGACAGATAAAAATGTCACTCAGTTTATTGTTAATAGTCTACAAATCACTACACAATAGTGTCCAAGTTTCAAAAGTCTCTCTTTCATGGTTTTTAAACATCATTATTCTTAAAGAAGTTTCTATATATTTTTCTGAGATAATGACAGTGCTGTCAAGTTTTAGAGAAATCTCTGTATTATTTCAAAGATGGTAATTTCTAAGTTTCTATAAAAGGGTTTTTTATTGCATTATGCAAGAACATCTCATTATTGCTTTACATTTGCCTCCAGCAAATTTTTCTATCTCCCTTCTTTTAAATATGTTGAATCTCCTGTCAATGTTGGTAATATATTTTTTGAAGAAAAATTTTACTTGCTCTAGTTCAGTTGTTCTTAGAAGAGTTTTCCTTTTTAATAAACGAAGCTCTAATATTTTTCTTTTAAAACTTTGCTGCAAATGAGACAGCAAGCTGACCTTCGTAGAGTGCTTTTTCTCTCATTTCTTTTTCCTGTCATCATCTTCAGCTGCTCATATCTTGATAGTCCAAACTGCCTGTGGCTTACATTTCATAATTTAGAAAAGAAAAAGTGAGTAAACTCTTAAAAGTGAGTACCTGGGCCCCCAACAACAGCTCTTGTTTTCAATCAGTGACACATTCATTTAATATCATCCCATAATGCAAGTATTAATCAGCAAGTTCTTGACATATACGGAGACTGTATTGTGATATATAGAAATTGCTTTATTATCCCCCCATATGCATACTTACACATAAATTAACCTATCTTCATTCGTAACTGGTATCATTGGTTGCGTTCATAAAAGCTATTTTTTTTTTTTTTTTTTTTGAGACGGAATCTCGCTCTGTCGCCCAGGCTGGAGTGCAGTGGCGCGATCTCGGCTCACTGCAAGCTCCGCCTCCCAGGTTCACGCCATTCTCCTGCCTCAGCCTCTCGAGTAGCTGGGACTGCAGGCGCCCGCCACCACGCCCAGCTAATTTTTTTTGTATTTTTAGTAGAGACGGGGTTTCACCGTGGTCTCAATCTCCTGACTTCGTGATCCGCCTGCCTCGGCCTTCCAAAGTGCTGGGATTAGGCTGGAGTGCAATGGCGCGATCTCGGCTCGCTGCAAGCTCCGCCTTCCAGGTTCAGGCTATTCTTCTGCCTCAGCCTCCTGAGTAGCTGGGATTACAGGTGCCTGCCACCATGCCTGGCTAATTTTGTTTTTGTATTTTTTTTAGTAGAGACGGGGTTTCACCTTGTTAACCAGGATGGTCTCGATCTCCTAACCTCGTGATCCGTCCACCTCGGCCTCCCAAAGTGCTGGGATTACAGGCATGAGCCACCGTGCCTGGCCAAGGTTTTTGCCATTTCACGATAACCCATACATTCTAGTCTACAAGTTTGGTCCAATACCTCAATTTCATTTCATAGAATCTTGCATTTATACTTTGTCCATTCCCATCCACAACCCTTAAATTATGTCACTGTTGTGCATGTACTAGCATAATGCTCATAACTTTCTCCAAACCAAATTTTTTATCAATGTTCCCTGACTCTATGGCCAGTCTTCTCTAACAAGCAGCACCCCAGGATCACTGTGGGAATTTCTGGAAAACTTACCATTGCCACACCTTTTACATAGAGTATAGATGACCTATCTTTGGCAATTAACTCAATTGTAATAGCTTTCATTTCTGTAGCCTTACTTATCTTGGTTAGTACAGTGTATGTAGGCAACAGCACATAATATTGTTAACTTGATTAATTTATTAAATTACTTCCCAACATTACTTTCGGAATAAAATCTGACAGTTTTAAACTTTTGTATCATTTATAATTGTTCAATTCATATTCTAAACACTTTTGCAAAAGTTACCAGAGATGGGAAAGGTAAACTAAAAAATATCTTAAAGCTTTTTAAGGTGTCAAGTTCGTTTATGATGTTATAAAAATCTTTTAAAATTGTACAGTTTTATAAAATTCTCAAATGTCTAGAGAAGAAGTCCTCACTACTTAGCTTCTAGCATGGTAATAACATAGATATGATGGGTACTGAAATGGCTCAAAAGAACATTGTAGGGGAACAACTGTTATTTGGATCCACTTTTCATATATAAAAGAAGATAAAGAAAATTTTTGCTAGAAGACAGTGACTCTAACTCAAACGGTTTTGATTGATATACTAATATAGAATATTTATTGGAATAATTGCCACAGATTAATATATTCCATTATATGCCAGAACTTTAAGGATCCTTCAGATTCTCACAAGAACCTTGAAAGGTATAGACAAGGAATTGATGGTCAAGAATGATAGTAACCATCTAAGGCCAAAGAGGTAACAAGTGGTGCAGCTACTTGTCCTATTTGTTCTATTCTTGATCCCATTTTCTTCCCACTATCTTAAAATAACTGAAGTTATTCAAGTAAAATTTTGGCTTGATAAAGAACAGGTATTTTGACTTCTATTGGATTTTGTGAACAATTAAAATAAAAATTTGCAACATTCCACAAAAATACCAAATCAAATATTCTGAAAGGTAATAAATATGTGACTTCCTTGACAGATTTGATTATGCTTCCTCCTTCTATCACTCATACTAATAACTTTCCAATTAGTTAAAAAAAAAACAAACACACACAAGTGAAACATCATAGCCAGATAGAAATGGGCAGAGAGCCAAGGCTTAGAAGAATAGTAGAATGAACCCCATGTTACATTCAACCAGAGCACATTTCCAACAAATCAGACTAAAATCATAAAAGAAAAAAAAAAGGCTAGTTGATAAATGATATCCATCATAAATAGATACAGGGTAAGTGAAATATAGGCTGGTATTATGATACTAAGATACGAATTTTTTTTTTTTTTTTTTTTTTTTACTTTTTTTCAGAGACAGGACACGCTAGACTAGCTAGTCACTTAAATGTTTTTCAAGAGTGATAGTTTGTCTTTGTGGAATCACCATAATCTCAGCAGAGATACAGATAGCATCAGAAGATGGGATTTATAGGGATATTAAGTTAAATTTGATTATATGAAACAAAACAGAGCTTACATTTCAACTTATACATTAAAAGTGTAGAACTGGGTTACCTCTACCTCAAAATTAGAAAGATTCTATAAACTCCGGCATCTTACTTCCATCCCTCATTGCTTTGTCTGTTTACCTATCTGCTTCAATCCTCTCTTGAGGTGATCTTTTTCTGATCCCTACACTGTAAGGCAGGACATAGTGGGTGATAAAACACTTAATTATGTGTCATGGAGACTGTTATTTTTCTCCCTTTCTTTGTCTGATTCTTTTGTGTTTAAATTAATGAGAAAGAGATTCTGGCCCAACTTTGAAGAATCCTCCCATTCCAAGTCTGGTCACCCGTTGGTGAGATCATCTAACATAAACATGGCTGGAAGAGTCTGTCCTCAAATGAGGGATGCAGATATAGAGCCCTCATAAACCACAAGACACTCAAGTTCTATGTTGAAGAATCTACTCATGCAAGGGATGGGGACATTAGACACTGGAGAATGCATTCCTAAGAAAATTGCCAAACAGCGGCTTACTATTTTTCTCTGGATAATTTATGTGGCAGGATACATACAGCAAATTATTTGTTCAAAGAACTCTCCTCTAATTTGCTTATGATTTACCAATAACTGACGAAAGGTATAAAAAAGGCTGTAAGATATATATGAAATTATCAGAAGTTGTTATCTTCAGTTGTTAGGGATAAAGTTTTGAATCTTCTTTGGTCTCTTCAAATTTATCTGAGCTTTGAACACACTATATAAAAAACATAACATCAACGATTTACATAATATTTATACACATACACATATTATATCATGATGTATGTAATCTTTAAGCTAAATGATATTTTTAAATTTTATTTACTTTTTAGAATAACATGCCACATTGCTACTTATAAATTCATGGAAGCAATGCATGCCCATTCTAGTAGTTCACCACTGAGCACTCATCTATCAACAGTGCTTCACAGTGTACTTCTTCTACCAGGGGTCATGGTGGAATCTAAGACCAGGTTAGAATATATTTGAAAGCCTTTCTTGACAATTTCTTAAAAAACACTTAGATCTAATAAAATTTCCCTCTATCTAATATTAAGGTTCTATCCTTTCTGTGATATTTGAGATGGGTTTCAGAGAACATTAAATGCTAGAGAGACGAGGCTTAAAAGTTTGTCTCGTCTGATAACTGTATCATCTTTCTACCTAATTGCCCTCTAGTACAGCCATGACACTCTGCTGCGAGTCAAAAACAAGGGAAGTAACCTCTGTTATTTTTTTCCTCTGTTCTTTTTTGCCTCTAATATTAAACAATATTCAACACATTTCTTTCAGAAACAAGGCTTTTTTTGGATAATCTAATTAGTTGAAATGTGTGGGGAGAACAAAACCATAGGTTACTGATAAATGGTCTTATAGCCACCAGGTACTTAGTGACAATTCTTGAATTTTTGGTGTGTTGGTTTGTAATATTTTTCATGAATTTTAGCATTATGATGGGCAGTCTACCACCTTCTACAATTGTGGTGAAAGCTATCTACAAAGTTATTCACTACATTGATAAATGATACCAGCTATACCCTAGCCCATTTTTGATGGGAAGAAATTTTTCACCTGTAATAATTACCAACTTCTTCTACTACCTAATGTATTCATTTAGGCAAAAACCTAAATCAACTATGGAATCAAAGATGTACAGTATCCTACATATTACAATGATGAGTTTTAAGAAAATAATTTGAAAATCATTGTCTAACGGAGTTTTAAAAAATTACCTTTCTTTGTAGCCTGGTATACTGTTATGGACTGATAAAATATAAGCACTGGAAAAGAATCACAAAATATATTTTCCCAAACATACTGTTTCTTTAGCTGCTTCTCTTTCTGTCAGAAGGGAGTATGCTACACAAAAGGCATTTCACTTTAGCAAAGTGTTACTGGCTTCTTGAAATACACAGTTTCTGTTAATTAATTTTAGATATCAATATTAACATAGAATTAGAAAAGCATATTAAACATATGAATCAATATCTGTATATTAATAGTGTGTAATAAACAATATTAATATACATCTAGAAAAGTTATATTTAGACTTCTAAACAATAACACACTTGAAGGAAAAATTAAGGACTGGCCTTTTACTATTGTTAACAATTAATAGGTACCTGATTCTGTTAATCTGAAAGCTGTAAAGAACTTCTGATTTAGATATGGGATCAGAATGGCCTTTAGTATGTATTCCATACTCAATTATGACACCACATCACTTATTCATTTACTGACTCTGAGAATATTATTTACTGTATTGACATTCAAATGTTTCCTCTGTAACAGGTACTCAATAATACATATTTTCAGAGTTATTGTGAGGATTAGATGACAACACTGTATGTAATATATAGTGCCTCTTCTAAAAAGTAATAGTGTCTCTTTTTACTAAAAATATTTGTGAGGAAATAATTCATAGACATGACAACTCTGAGTAACAAGATATTTATTTATTCATTTTTATTGTTTAAGGGTGGCTATTTGTCTTAGGGGTCAATGATATTTGAATAAATATAAACACATCATTTAATATTAACATCCCCCAATACTATATTATAACAAAGGTAAATTTTCCAGAAGATAATTTGTATACTTCCCCAAATTCCACTCAAATCTTTAGCCAGTCTTCATTTTTTTAAATTTTAAAGTTTACATGGAAGTGTAAAACAACAAGAATAGCAAAGACTCTCTTAAGGATGAAGAACCAAGTTGAGAGTATTACTCTACCTTGTTTCAAAATATTTAGGTATAGTAATTAAAACAGCAATGTGTTGGTATAGGGTTAGAAAAAAATAGAAAAGTAGAGCAAAACAGATAAGCCGTAAATAAATATGTGCCTACATTCAAACCCAATATATGATGAAGGTGGTGTTCTAAAAAGGTATTGAGTAAATAATGCTGTGACACTTGGTTATTCATAAGAAAAAAGTTAAAACAGGTATCTTTCTCACACCATACTTAAAAATAAATTTCAAATCCATTCAAAGGCAAATATGTAAACATTTCAAAGAAAATTTAGGAAGAGTATTTTCATATTTTTAGTGTAAGGAATGATCTAACAAGCTATAATACATATATACTCTAAAAAATAAGAACTCAAATTTAGAAGAATTAACATCTTATTTTGATTTAAAAATTCAATAAAGGAAGGGTGGAAAATATGAATTTGGACAAAAGTGTTTTCAACATGTAAGTGACTGAGGCTAGTATTAATACAGGGAAAAGGATAATGGATAGAATGCAAGAGGCATATACAGGATACTTTAAAGACTGCAGTAAATTTCCATTTTTTATATTGTCAATAATTGAATGACTGCTCATTTGATTATTCTGTGAAATGTTTATACCGACCTTACACAAGCTTTTTAATGCTAGTTAAAAGTGAAAATAATTTTATAACAAAAATTTAACTTAAAAAACAGAAGAATTTTAATATTTCCATGATGATATAAATTCAGGGTCGGTAGTTGACATAAAAATGGCTCAAAAGCTGCTCCTTTCAAATGAGCTTGAGACACTGTGGTACTTTTCCCCAAGCAGTCATCTGATTTGATGTATGCAGTAACAGTACTTTTGCTACCTCATATTTTCATTTTCTACCTTTATTTAGGTTATGCTAGACCTTCAGGAAGTAAGGTGTGCTAGGAGACTTATTTGCATCCATAATATCATATCTTTATCAATTTTAAATATAATTAATGTCGAGATGCCCGAAAAGCTAACTAAAGTAATATAAGTGATCTCACGTTGAATAAAATGAAAATGCTATATTCACTATACCAATTTATGTTTCAGAATATGAGTATCAATAGGTATCTGCCTACTCTCAACAAACCTATGTTTTTAGCTGTACCTGATCTCTTGCCTGGAAACGCATGAGATCCCATCACATGTAAATTCTGAATCCATTTGCGAGAGACTGATTATGTTATCTATATTTTCTGGTCTCATGTTACATCCATCATAAGAAAACGTGTGTGTGTGTGTGTGTGTGTGTGTGTGTGTGTGTGTGTTCCAATTTAGCTCATGACTGATTCTAGATAACATCCATGAAGTTACTAATAATAAGACTTTATAATTTATCTATTTTTCTGTAGATGCTGGGAATAAATGAGAGCTAAAAATCATTTTCTAAGCTTGGAAACTTTTTGCAAATTTGGATTCAGACTTCTAGGGTACAGTAGTTTTTGCAAAAGAATAGTAAATGGATAAATGGTCAGCATGAGAAATATTTGCTCTAAGAGTGTGAAGGATTTTAATTTGATCATTCATCATCCATCTCTGCTGATTCTTTGCTCATATGTTGTGTGACAGACTAGAATGTGTTACTGAGGACACAGAAACAGTTAGCTTTCTTATTGCTAACATTTATAACCCTTCTGGAAAGAGATTGTGACAAGCGGAAGCTTAGTGGGATACTAGCTATTCATTTCTTTGAAATGTTTCATGTATACATTACTTACATCTTATTGTATGTGTTAAATGCAGTAAGATTGCATTGCTGGTGGCAAAGCTCAGCTGCCTTCTCAAAAATCAATAATAATTTTTAAAAATCACTTAGATTTCACTAGATTATACATGCTCAGCAAACTTGAAAGACAAAATATTAATATTTATAGTTACAATGATGAAGCCAATGCCACTGAATTCTATTTAATCTCTGAAGAAATATATTTAGGGTAGTTAGAATTTTAACAAGGGTGAATTTTCTTCATTAGCATCTTAGAAGAAGGAAATGGGAATCTGAAAGGGAATAAGGTCTTCATACTAATGCTTAATCCATTGTTAGTTCCATGAGCTGAGTCGTGAATGGGCAGCCCATTCAATGGATATGTATTCCATTCTTAACCACTCTTTTTCTTTGAAGCGTTAAAGAGCAGATGTCAATATACAAATTATATTAAAAAATCTCTATTGCTGGCCAAATATTTCCATGGGCTTAAGACATAATTACAACTGGAAATATAATTACTTGGGTGTGGCTTTTCATTAAGTAGACATATAAATAATTATATAAAATGTACCCTTCAAGACAGACCATAAGAGTATGGTAATCTGCTTCTTGGATAAGTCTTTAGTACATAACAAGCTACTTTCTCAAGAGATTTACTTCTGGGATCTAGAGAATTGTACAATCCCCAGGGCCTTATATATGACTTATAAAAGTCAGAGAATTATGTAATTGAAAATCATTGTGCAGCCTTCACAATAGGCAGATACATAAAATGAGGACCATATAGATAAACTGATCTCTTCAGGGTCATACACTCATACTGTAGTACTGAGCAGGATCAGACTTAAATTTTTCTAGTTTCGTCAAAGTTTTTTCCTTTTCCTCTCTTCTTCCTTTTCTTTCTTCACCTTTGCTTTTCTTTACTTTTGCTTCTCTTCCTCCATCCCTATCCTTTTCCTTAAATTTTTAACATAAAAGACTATTCTTTTTTACTTCTTCACTTCCATCTTCATGCTTTGTCTGTTTTCCCATCTTTAACTCCTACCACCTTCGTCAAATAAAAAAGAAAATATTGTTCGACCGTCAGTTAAGTATCTAGTGTTGAGACCACATTGTAAGAGACTAGAGGCTGAATCATAAATTTATTCCTTGAGGCAAGATGGGGTGCATCTTTGCATTGGAATAATGAAGGGAAAATATACACACCAGCAGGTAAGAGGATATATCAAGTTTGGGAATCATAAGGACAAGAGTTTGAGGCAAAGTGGAAGAAAACTGTAGTGAAATCAAAACATGGCTTAACCTAGAAATTTACAGAACAATTTCTGTGAACACCAGTGAATGTGGAAGGTTGTTCTTTGTGGGTCGAAGATAGAAGTGTGGTTTAAGTGAGATTTTTAAAAATTTACAAACTTTATATAATTGTAACATAATATGGAACAGGAAGAGTAGTATACATATCCCTGTACCAACATGTCTCCCATCATTTCCAAACAGCTTCGCATTTCTATAAACATGGACACATTTGTGCTACTGATTGGCTCAGAGACTCTCAGGACCCATCTCCCTGGAGGATGAGGTCACAACCAACTATTATAACAGTAATGGCTTCTAAAACTCATTTCAGCCTTTATAATATGCTATATAATAATTGCTGCCACTATTTATCAGATGCATAGACTTCATCTTTCCATCTACAGGACAATATTTTTAGGCCAAGAGTTTTGTCTTACATATCTTTATTGTAGTCCTGACAGCTACTGTCACCGTTTGAGACAGAGTACATGCTCATCAAAAGATACATAAGCCTGACTCCAGCAATGAAGCCACTTAGTGATCTATGTCATTCTTAAGAGAGTAAGAGGGCCCTCACTGGATCAAATGCATAGGAATATGAAGAGATATTTATAGTTTCATGAAAAACACAATTTCATTGCAATGGCCAATTCACATATTATTCAGAAGTACTTGTGCCAAATCAGTCTTACTTTTTTCTTGCAAGTCACATTTGATTGTAGATGTGTGTGTGTCTGACAGACCCATTGGAATCTATTCCATGCATGTTCCTCCCCATACTAGGATTTATATTTGGAAAACAAAATCTGACTGGGCGCGGTGGCTCACGCCTGTAATCCCGCACTTTGGGAGGCCCAGGTGGGCAGATCACGAGGTGGGGACATCGAGACCATCCTGGCTAACACAGTAAAACCCCTTCTCTACTGAAAATACAAAAAATTAGCCGGGCGTGGTGGCGGGTGCCTGTAGTCCCAGCTACTTGGGAGGCTGAGGCAAGAGAATGGCGTGAACCCGGGAGGTGGAGCTTGAAGTGAGCAGAGATCGCACCACTGCACTGCAGAGTGAGACTCCGTCTCAAAAAAAAAGGAAAACAAAACCTCTAGGATAAAATTTATAAAAAGTAAATTATTTGGGCTGCCACTGCAGGATTTTCTAATTTTGTCCCAGCCTTTCACTTAAGTTACATATTGGTTGAAACTGTACTGTTTGATATATTAAAATACACTCAATAAGGTTTTATTTATCTCTACTCTATCTACATATGCACTATATTCTACCACATCATCGTATAAAGTAAATTACATAAAATAAGAATCCCACAAGATATTTGGCACAAAAATCAGTATTAAAATGTAAGAAATCCTACATATTAAGTGTCACAATTCCCATCAAAAACTTTGAAAAGACCAATAATAAAGAACTATGCTTAATTTAAGCCCAGTTTCCTAAACATGACCTCTAGACCCATTTGTGTGTTTGTGTGTTTCTGCATGTGTAATAACTTCTGACATTCCAATGAAGCTTATTAAACAGATATACTTTAAATATGTCTTTATTCCTGGCTGTCTACTGGGTACTGAACCCAATCTGAGATTTCAGTAATTGTGACTTCCAAGTATGTCTTCTGTTTCTTACTTGTTCAGCCATCCCCAACTGCATATGAATCTCAATCTGTCACAGTCTTTGAAACATCAGTACCTTTATGCGTACTGTTAGCATTGGCCAGAAGTGTACCTCTACATCTTATATTATATTCAAGTACCATATCAAAACATTCATTTTGTAAAACTTAACCCTAAATTCCTTCCCCACATCCAGAATTAACTTTACCCATCTCAAAACCTCTTGGTACTTTACTCACACACATTGTATGGCGTAAGCTTCTCAACTGTTTCCCTCACTAGATTGTGGGTCATTAGACAGATATTTAGGTTAAGTATTTTGCATGTAGATTAAATAAGAATATTTAATGCTTATTTTACCACATTGCCACTTTTTAAAATTTGATAATATTGGTAGAAAAAGAAATACTCTGTAAGAGATTATGATCTCAAAAAGGTATTTAACAATGTCATGTTCCTCCAAAGACAAGAAAGTAAGAAAATGATAGGACACATGATGGTACTGTCTTGCAGATATTTTTTAGGTAGATGAATAATAATATAAAAATTACATTATCTCTGAACTGAAAAAATATTTAAGTGGTGAGGCTCATGCTTTCTATTTTAATCTGTTTAGCAACATTATTAAATACACTTTAATCTAGAAATTTAATTAAAATGGAGAACTGCCTGCTCAATTTTCAAAGGTGAAAATGGGAATGACAGTGAGTACAGAGTAAGATAATCGACATGCTAAAAAAGACCCAGATAGTTGAAAAGATCTGATAAAACAACAAAATGACATTGTTATAGGTGTTAAAAGAACAAAAGACTACTGAAAATCTACTATGTGCCTAGGTAATTGACACCAATACAACTATACACATCAAGGGATTGAACAGTTCACTGAATCTTACATTGGTTAAGTCATATCCTAAATATAGCATCGGTTTCATATTAGTGATTACTGTTCATGTGTGAGTTCTTCAAAGGTTCAGAAAGACCCTGATTCATCAAAAGACTAGATGAGGAGGAATCAGGAAAATAATTAATGTATTTACAAATTTACATTTATGCATTGAATGCTTTCTTTGTAAAAAATTCTAATAATTTAATCTTTTGAATTTTCAGTCATAAAGCATAGAGATGTAGTCCCTGCTCTTATCATGAAGCATACAGCATAGAAAAATGGATATTAAACCCATAATAAAACGAATAACAATATAACTACAAATGAAATATGCGTTCTAAAAATAAATTTCAGAGAAAACTGCTTTAATAGGAGTTTCAGGGAAGGACACTTTAAGCACTATTGAAAATAGTGAAAGGTTCCCTCATCCCCATCACACGGCATGTGATAGGGGTGTGACTCACTTCTTCGGTGCCCCGCTGCTCCAACCTCTAGGGGAGCACATAGACGGGCAGGCTGTGGGGCACCGACCCCACAGCAATGTATACCAGTGAATGTTTACAACTCCTGAAGCATCCGTAGGCATGTGTTAGAGGGTGCTCTTTAAGTTTGCCGCCTAGAGGCAGCTTGTGTTAGTCAGCGCAATTAGACCATCTATCTTGTCTCAAGGACAGAAGGCTTTCTGTATCCCGGGGTTTCTTGCCTTGGTGTACAGGAAGAATCGAATCACAAGTGGGCTTGGAGAAGGAATGCAAGGTTTTATTGAGTAGAAGTAGCCCTCAGCACATGGGCGAATCAGAACGGAGATGGTTTTACCCTGGAGTCGGGCTGCTCGGTGGCCCGGGCTCTCCTCTGACTGCTCCAGGCAAACACCATGTTATTCTGCAGATCGATGGCCTGCTGGCCTGCTACGGCCTGTCAGCGTGCTCTTCCGCCGGCGTGCTCTGGATGACCAGACCCTTGTGTCTTCTTCTGCAGATGTGTTCTTCATGACATCCAGCTGCTTTATGTCTCTGCCTTGCTAGGGTCTCGGGGTTTTTTGTTTGTTTGTTTGTTTGTTTGAGACGGAGGTGCTGTAGCCCAGGCTGGAGTTCAGTGGCGCGATCTCGGCTCACTGCAAGCTCCGCCTCCCAGGTTCACCCCCTTCTCCTGCCTCAGCCTCCCCAGTAGCTGGGACTACAGGCGCCCGCCACCACGCCCGGATAATTTTTGTATTTTTAGTAGAGACGGAGTTTCACCGTGTTAGCCAGGATGGTCTCGATCTCCTGATCTTATGATCCGCCCGCCTCGGCCTCCCAAAGTGCTGGGATTGCAGGCATGAGCCACCGTGCCTGGCCGGGTATCGGGTTTTTATAAGCTCAGGATGGGGACATGGCAGGCCAGGATGGTCTTGGAAAATGCAGCATTTTGGTATGAAGGCAGAAATGCATGTCCTCACCTACATCCGTGGGGGTGGAGCCCTAGCCAGGGACCCGCGTTTCTCTACCCAGCACCTCTCTGCCCCCCCTCCCATATCACTAAGGCAAAAACAAACAAACAAAACTTTTGTCATGTGGGTAATTGAAGAAATGGAATGTTGCTGTATAGAGAGATTGAGTGTGGATAAACCAGTGCTTTAAGATACTTGAAGAGTTGATGTTTAAAAGTTACATTTAATGACTGAGGGTAGAAATATTTGTTTCTACTCTGAAAATTTATTGTCAAAATAGGTACAAGTTATAAGAAAATTGATTTCAAACCCAATTTTTTAAAAAATTAAGTTAGAGCTACCCAACATTGAAGTGATTCACATGGAAGTGAAATAGCTCTCAAAGTGTATAAGCAGATGCCATTTCTTGCTTTTTTCCTAATTGTAGAAATTTATTTTTAGCATATTTTATAGAGAAAATTTCCTTAGTTTACAACAATCCTTTTAGCATTTCTGTACCATATACCCGCTACATGCCGCACACACATCAGCGTAGATACTATAGCACAATTATAATTTGTGTCAAATCAGTTTCAATCTTATTTCATAAATTTGAATATGGCTTGGCATCTTCAGAAGTATTAAAATCTGTTGATAGTGAAGACTACTACTATGTTGAATTATTATTGTCTTCAAGACAGTACAGCATAGTGGTTAAAAGTGAACACTAAGGAGTCACGTTGCCTGTTGGCAAAACCCCATGCCATCACTGTGTGTTTTTAGGCAAAATTACTGTAACCCTCAGTCTCATTTTCTGTATAATGAAAACTACACACATCTTGCAATTTAGTTTGGATGATTAAATCAGATAACACATGCCAAAATTTTTAGCTACTGTTAGTATCTTTTTTTTTGTTTTTGGAGATAGTGCCTTGCTCTGTTGCCCAGGCTGGAGTGCAAGGGTGTGATCTTGGCTCACCACAACCTCTGCCTCCCAGGTTCAAGCGATTCTCCTGCCTCAGCCTCCTCAGTAGCTGGGATTATAGGCACACACCACCATGCCCAGCTAATTTTTGTATTTTTAGTAGAGGTGGGGTTTCACCATGTTGGCCAGGCTGGTCTTGAATTCCTGACCTCAAGGATTCCCCCTGCCTCAGCCTCCCAAAGTGCTGGGATTACAGGCGTGAGCCACCATACCCAGCCAATATCTTTAAATTGTTTATTTTCTAATATGATAGCCTTAACATCCTAGAATGGCACAAAGATTGATACCACTAGTATTTCCAAACTGAATTTAGAGTGTTTGCTTCTGTTATTTAGAAGCAAAACCACAATATTTAGTGATAAATATTTAATTTTAACATTAAATATCTAATAATTAATGTGACTATTACAGAAAGTAACTAAATTATAAAATAAATAACACAACTTTGAAAACCATTTATCTCAGCCCACACTACATATAAACTTACAAAACCCATGGAAGAACACAATACAATGCATAAATGGACTTGCAAAAAAATTCAGATTTGAATGCAATCACACTCTAATTCCCAGTAATTAAATTTCAGGAAACATAGAGGAACAGAAGAACATGACAAACAACATCAAAGAGGCACAGTCAGTGTAATCTAGACTGTGGAGGAATGTCAAGATAAACCACCCAGTATTTTCAGCAAGAAGAAAGTGAAAGAGAAAAAGAGGAAGAGAAAGAGAGAGAGAGAGATCACATATTAGGAGAGGCTTATGAGAACTATCAACCAATATCCACATATGGACCTTGTTTTGATCCTAATTAACTCAAAACAAAAATACTTGTTTACAATAAGGCTGGGTGTGGTGGCTCACTCCTGTAATTCCAACAGTTTGAGTGGCCGAGGTGGGCAGATCACTTGAGGTCAGCAGTTCGAGACCAAACTGGCCAACACGGTGAAACCCCATCTCTACTAAAAATACAAAAATTAGCCAGACATGGTGGTGCGTGCCTGTAGTCTGAGCTAAGTGGGAGGCTGAGACATGAGAATTGCTTGAACCTGGGAAGCAGAGGTTGCAGTGAGCTGAGATCATGCCACTGTACTCCAGCCTGGGCGACAGAGCAAGACTCTGTCTCTCAAAAACAAAACAAAAACAAAAAAAAAAAACTGTTTACAATAAAACATAAAGGAGATAGTTAGAAATTTGCATACTGACTGGATATTTGAGAATATTTGATTTTTAGATATGATAATGGCTAAATATGGACATGTTGTTTTAAACAGACTGGTTGTCTCCTGGAGGTACATGCTAATCTATTTACAGATCAAATGTTTATAAAATATATAGGAAGGGGTTGTAGACAGGGGAAGAGATGACTCAGGATTTACCATGAGTTGTCGATTGTTCAATATGAGTGACGAGTACATGGGAGTCCATTATACTCTTCTATTTTTTTGTATACTTGAAATTTTCCCTAATACAAAAAATGTTGTAAGAATCAATAAGAGAAACTAGGCAACTGTAAAGTTGGGAAAACAGTCTAGACAATTAAGCTCTTCAAACTAATTGTTTGAACTATGGCATTTGAGAAGAAGATATATAGATATAGACATAAATCTAGATATAGCTAGAGATAGACTGCATTCTCATATAATAAATTCTCATTCTGACATTCGTAATTCTCAGTTAACTGGAGCTAAAATACCCCATTACCCTTTTACCATTAACAAAAACTATTTTATTTTTCTGACTTATCCAGATAATTTCCCAAATCTTCACATTTCTTTCTGAGCATGTATACTCAGTAAAGAACTACTTCAGGAATTCTTTATCAAAGCCGTGAATTACAAACATTATCTTTCAGCTGTGCTAAGAAGAAATAGTGACGTTTTGTGAAGAGAAAAATGTGCCTGCTGAGGAAAGCTGGTTAGTAAGCTTTAAAAAAAATTATTTTTCTGGAAATAGTTTTAAATCAAATAAATGTACTAGATATAGTCCACGTACTACAGTATGACATATGAAGAGGATAACACGATTAAAATCGTAAGGCTAGGCTAGGCTTGGATAATTTTCCATTATAGTCTATGTCATGGGAATAGACACATTTCATGCCAATTCTGTTCTGTATACATTTTTCATAATGGGGAGCATAAGTAAAAGAGCATTTTAGCTTTTTGGTTATTTGGAAATACTGTGTTATAATGCATAAGCTAATATATTACTTCAAACCAAGACAAAAATGATCTGGTAAATACCATAAATTAATTAATCAATACACGTTCATCGAGCAAGGCTCAAGTGGCACCCATGTTGTGAAAGGTGCGGTATAAAGTTGTATTATCACACTAGGATTGATGCTCATGGTGATCATTAATATATATAAATACACACACAATTGTGGCAAACATGGATTTCATACTTTCCTATTTCACTTTTTCATTTAATAATGGCAATATATTCAGACAAAATGCCCTCCAGTATTCTTTGTAGATAGATGCCCTATGACAGTTCTCTCTAATGGGATATATAGTCAATCCCTGATATCTGTGAGAGAGTGATTCCAGGACCAATGCAACATCAAAATCCACCAATACTCATGTACCTGATACAAAAAATGGTGTATTAGGTTGGTGTAAAAGTAGTATTGACATTGCTTTTAATGGTATTGCTTATAACCTATGCATATCTTCCTTTATTCTTTGATCATCTGTAGAGTCCTTAAACTACCTAATACAATGTAAATGCTAAGTGGTTGTTACACTGTATTGTTTTCTTATTTGTATTATGTCAAATTGTCCTATTGTTTTTTCGTCTGAATATTTTCCACCTGCTAGTTGGCTGAATCTGCTGATGTGGAGCCCAGAGACAGACTGTAAATAGAAGTCATGGTTTAGTTCTTCTGGAAAAGCACTTTTAAAAAGAACAGACTCATTAGCATCCACATTTCACTTTTTGTCGTTTCCTCTTTTTGCCAGAAACAGAGGAATAATTCTTGGGAGTGCTGCGGCTGATTGTGACCATGAAAACAGAAGAAAAATGTGAGGTTTCCACACTGGAACTTTGAATTGTTACATCATCCTCGAATGTAAACTACCTCTGGATTTCGTATTATATAGAATTGATACAACTCTTACATGTACGCTACTATTTTGGGAGGATGAACGGTATCTATTAAAATGAATATGATTCTAATAGATTGCAAATTATAAAATTTTATAATATTTAAAGGAATATATAATGCAAATTTATAACATTAAGAGGCAATATTTGTGCCATTTTAACTACCACAAATCTCAATTTAAATCTTGACTTATGACAACATATAAATGTATATATATTTTAAATTAGTATATACCTAGATGCACAAGCCTGCTTGGGAATTATTTTATAATTCAGGGATGTAACCTTTGTGACTTTCTTTTATATCTAATATCTGCACACAGATAACTCATCCTTATTGTTCCAAAGAAGGAAATCTCTAATGCTACATTACACAAGAAAGCTGATCTGATAAATCTTGTTTGCATGTATACATTAAAGAATCAATCAAAACAAACGTGTATTTTAAGAAAGGATGGCTGCAGAGGACTAAAAAATACAAACGTAAGTACATACTAATATATGTACCAAATTTTTTATTGCAGCAGTGCAACAGAAGTGAGTACATAAAAATGGGAGTAATTGAATAAATTATAATACATCCACATGTGTATATTACATTGATATTAAAGTAAGTGTGTTAGATATATGGAGATGTGTCACAATTACCATAATTCCACTTTCAAACTTTGCATATGTGTGAGTGTGTGTGTGTGTGTGTGTGTGTGTGTGTGTGTATCCTTTTGGGATTTTGATACATAAAAGTCTGTATTAGCATGGAAATGGATGTTCACCACACTGATAATATTGGAGAAACTTACGGGCATTGGGAGTAGGATTGGAGGTGAGGTAGTTGTGGAGATTTATTGTTTTATTATCTTGTCTTCTTTTGCATTATTTAACATAAAGGAAACATATATGATACATACACACATAAATTTGTAAAGAAAAAGATTCAATCCACATTGGAGAGGTAAAGAGAGATAGAGGAAGAAAGCGACAGACAAAGTGATTCTGAAAGACAACAAAATGGTGGGATTTCTGGCATTATCATACAACGATACATAATAAAGAGGAATAAACTCCACGTAGCTGACATACTACTTTATGTAAGTGTTTGTATGCGTGTTTACTACAATAAGATTTGCATCCATAATTGATATCACAGTATAAATAGCACAGAGTATAATAAAATCTAAATTCTCAATACAGATCTGATATAATTTGGATATTTGCTCCTTTTAAATCTCATGTTGAAATATGACCAATGTTGAATGGGGGGTATAGTGAGAGGTGTTTGGGTCATGGGGACAGATCTCTCTTGAATGACTTGGTGCCCTCCCCCTATAATACGTTAATTCTTACTTTATTAGTTCATCCAAGATCTGGTTGTTAAAGAGTCTGGAATCCCCCTTTCTCCCTTTCTCTTACTCCTGTCTCATCATATGGCATGCCTGCTCCTCCTTCACCTTCTGTGATTAAAAGCTTCCTGAGATGCTCACAGAAGTAGATGCTGGCACCATACTTCTTGTACAGTCTGCAGAACTATAAGCCAAATAAAACTTGTTTCTTTATCAATTACTCAATCTCGGGTATTCCTTTATACCAACGCAAAATAGACTAACACAAGATCTTTGCTATTATGGCTTTTTGTTGTTACCTTTTATGCTGCAAACTGACCATAAACTTTGTTTTCTAAGCACAGTCTTCTGCCTTAATGCATAAAAGGCAATTATGTCATTTAAAGAACACATCATGAATGCAGTGACTGCTCCTCCAGTCTTTATTGAGAATGCTCAGTTTATTTTCAAAGGCTGATGACATATCTTGCTCTCTAGCACTTTTCAAATCCCTTAGCTCTAAGAAGTATCAAATATTATCCTTCTTTTTATACTCTGTTCATAGTAATAAACTGTAGACAGAAAGGAGCTGGGAAGTCAAGCATGAGAATCATTCTGGGGACCTTTTAGATGTGATATCGAGCTCCTCTTGCACAAAAGATATTTTCCTAATACCTTCACTTAATCCCACTATGCCTCTCCAAGAGTAAAAAATCTCTCTTTCAATAGCTCTGAATAGTGGACTGTTAAAACTTCATTGTTGATTATAAAAGTAAATTATTATTTAAACTAAAAGTTAAAAGACACACCCAAAGAAGCAAACATCTACCTCTTCTAAGACCCTATACAAACAACTGATAAAATAATTAAACAATCCTAGCATAATGGCAAGAGCTAAGGCCCTGGACCCAATCAAATCCCAATTCTTAGACTTACTATCTTCATAAATTTGGAAAAATACTCATTACTCAAAGGCTCAGATTTTTTACCCAATGAAAGAATCATAACAATACCTAATTTATGGGGTCACTGGAGGATTAAATTAGGTTAGGCACATACCTCAATTATAGAATGTGATCAATGGAAGTTCATCATCATCATATTGTTCTGTCACCTTAATATGGATAAACGTTAACATGATTTTCCAAGTGCTTACTGTATTAAAATGCCTGGTATTTATTCAAAAGCTATTATGGCATTATTCACAGTGTTGCATGTGCATTAATTAATTTAATCTATACAAACATCCTAAAAGGAGGTAGCATGTAATAAGCACTATTTATATACAAGGAACCTGAGGCACAGAGAAACTAGTCATTCATGGAGATGGGATTCACACTCTGGCAGTTTAGTTTCTGACAGCAGTTCCTAAACTCTGAACCACTACAATATACTACCACTCATGTAGCTCATTATTCTATCTTTAAAGAACATCCATCACTTTTAAAACCTACTTTTGGCTAAGCAGTTTTGTTGAAATTACATTTTATCAAGCTTCTGCTTTTTCTAGGGCAGCCTGCCCTGAAATTTAAGATTTAATTCTGTACATTTTTTCCAGTTTTCTAATTTAGTCTCATTTTCACATTTGCTTAATAACCTGAGGCTCACTCTGTCTCTACTACCAATCTTGGATCTTACTGGCATCTTCCCTATTTATAGGTACTTTGCTCACCAAAAACCACCCTGTTATACTCCCTCATCCTTTTGGGATTGCAATTACTCTTCCCTGCCTCATGCATGTAACTCTCTCCCTCTTTATAAGAATGTAGTATTATTAAGAATAGGCGAACACAGTGTTTTAAGAAGAGAGACAGAATTGAATTACTATGGTGAACACACAAAGCCAAATAATTTACTGGGATATTTCTGTCCTTTGTACTTTATTCTCAGAATATATGACATATTATCAGATTATATGACATTCTATATAATATTTGAGATTAATTTGAGGTGAAAATATTCTTGTCCAAGTTCAGTTATAAAAAGGACATGATATAACTAGAATTATGAATTCCATGGATTAAAAGCTCACAAAATTCTGAGAGAAGATATAGGAATATCACAATAGAATACAAATAGATTAGGATATAAAATTCAAAAGATCTCAGAATGTTAAAATTGTATAATATTATGGTAAGTGCAGGATAAAAATCAAGGGACATAGAGACCACATCATGAAGTTTCTTATCTGTATAAAAACATTCTAGTAGTTTACAAAAGAAGAAATAGCCATGATACAGAAAATATTTTTTTAAATACTAAAACAACTCAAAGAACAATTTCCATATTGAAAGGACTCACCAAGTACCACAAAGGGTGCCACACATATGCATATATATATATATGTGCTTCAATGTATGGCAGTGACGTTTAAGAACACCAGTAAAAAAACAGAATCCTAAACCTTCACAGAATAATAGGCATCAGAAAAAAAATTATCCCTCAGCAAAACTGATGCAAAAAAATGAAGAAATATCTTCAAAGAGATGAAATAAAATAACTTTGAAAACTGAATTCTTATTCCAGCCAAAATAACATATATAACTCAAATTAAATAACAATTAAAACTTAAAAAAATATAGAATCTTGAAAACTCCATTTTGTTATTTGTGAATTCTTGATGTATTTGAATTAAGGTTGTTTTAAAAAATAAATGTTACCCTTCAGAGATAAAAAGTAGGTAAAAATAATAACCTAGCAACACGTATAACTAAAAACAGTATAATATTAACCCCAAAATTTTAAAGAATTTATTGATGAGAGATATATTAAATATTTGAATGGAAAAAGTAAGTATTTTAAAGATTTCATTTGCCCACAAATACAAATTTTTCAATCCCAGCAACAATGTTATCAGTAATTTTAGAGAATTTGACTATGTGATTCTATAATACACATATAAAAATAAATGTAATATAATATCTAAGCAGCTTATTAAAAGTAAGACTTTTAAAAAGCAGATGCCTTGCCAGATTTAAGAACATTTAAAAAGATGTAATGATTAAAATATTGTGGGAGCAGAATAGGAACAGATGACAAAATCCATGGTAAAAAAATAGGCCACCTAGAAATAGAATATCACAGATATGGATAGTATTACAGTGTCGTTTCAAATTAGTAAAAAAAATTGGACAATTTAATAAGTGGCGTGGGAAAAACTAGGTATCTATTGCAATAATGTATAATTACTTTTGTATTTCAAAGCATGCATGAAATAATTACAGACTAAAGACCTAACAACATACGTTTATTCTATTTCATTTAAAAGTACTCATAATCATGGCAAAAAAAAAAGTCAATTCAAAATTGACTGACTACATGAACAGATTATGTAGTAGAGTAATGCTACTTGCAGGAATATGCAAATTCCAAACTTTTAGTAGAATAAGACTAAACCCTTCATTTCTCACTCAAGTTAACAATCCATTTTTATTCTTACAAGAGGTGATTCAGGGTCTCAGGCTCTTTCCATTTTATAGGTTGGCTGTATGCCATGAGGCTGCCAAGGCCAAACTATATCTTTTGCTTTCTAAAGAAGATATTTCTAATTATCTGGACATTCTCAGTTACCTTGACAATCCAGAATACGTATCCAGTTTTGTGATTCATCAAATATGGTTTCTCTTAAAGATTTGCTCTATAATGGAGAAATTTTCAACTATATAAAATACATTTATGAACTTCCTTCATTCTTTGAAATTGCTGGATAAATGGAGTATACTAATCAAATAATACCCAAAGTTATTTTTCAAGCTGAGTGTTTTAGAATTTCTTAAAGTTCTTTGGCAGTCAGTAAATATTTGGTGAAGTGCTAATCAAATAATCATCTAAAATATACACAGTTTAAAATAGATTGGTCATTTAAAAAGAAATTTACCATCTAGTTCAAAAAATTATTGAATGAGAGCAACATAAAACATGGATAAGACAACAGTATGTTCTTCAGTGTTCAAAGAAATCAGACTGAAAATCATATATTTTTAAAATTCTCTTCTTGATTTTCTAGGGACTAGGTAAGACCAAAAGTTGACTTGCTAGAAAAGATTTAAAGAAAACGATAGCCTGTAATCCCAGCACTTGGGGAGGCCGAAGCGGGTGGATCACCTGAGGTCAGGAGTTCGAGATCAGCCTGACCAACATGGAGAAACCCCATCTCTAATAAAAATACAAAATTAACCGGGCACAGTGGTTCATGACTGTAATCCCAGCTACTCAGGAGGCTGAGGCAGGAGAATCACTTGAACCTGAGAGGCAGAGGTTGTGGTGAGCCGAGATCACGCCATTGCACTCCAGCCTGGGCAACAAGAACGAAACTCCACCTCAAAATAAAAAGAGACAACAACAACAAAAGAAAACGATAGCATTAAACTGTCTGATTTACTAGTTATAAAAGTAACCTTTACATTTTATCACTTTAAACCAACTTTCCTAGTAATCGTTCTTAGAAAAATCCACTATTAATAGATACTTCACTTGTTTTCATAGATCATCAGATTCTTTGTTTTTATTCAGTTTATTGACCTGGCTACAATGCAGAGAGAATAAAAAGCACAGGTCACTACATCTTTTTTTTGTTCATCTTTATACGGGACTTAATGACTATCCCAATATACAATTTTCAAAAGCATTGAAAACTGTAATTACTGTTTCCAAAATTCATGTAAAAGACTACTTGTAAGTGGAAGGTATTAAGTTATTGTTGTTGTCACAGTCATTACTGCTGTTAGTATCTTGGAAGAAAAAGGAGAGTTATAATTCCATGGCTTGTAACTTATAATCAACTCAGAGCTAACTCAAGAATAGCCTTAACATCCCCTCTTATAATTCTATTTTTATTCCTACAGAGAACCAGAAGTGTGGAAAACCTTAGTGTAGGAAATATTGACCGTGGGAGTGACAAATTTGTTTACCTTTCCATTAGACATCTTTTAACATGGTTTCATACCCAGAGAAAGATTTTTTTCCCAATAAGGAGCATCATATGAATGTCACTGTAGGAATTTTATTAAGGAACCATCGGATACTTTAGATTTGATAGGTTAATATGGGAGAAGAACATTATATTTATGTGCTTTTGTATTTTTACAAAAATAAAATTTATCTAAGTGACCAGCTTACAATACTTTTTGGCAAGTATGTACTGTCAAAGATCAACAATAATTGGTTTCTGATTAAGGCATGAGGGGAAGTAGCAGAGATTTAGGGATTATGAATATGTTGTTTAGAGAGGATGCAGAAGGGCAATAGTTGCTTAGTTGCTACTTTAGTAAAGAGTGAGAATCACATTTGCCCAAAGTAATATGGTTTGTACTGTTTATAAGGCAAGGATGAAACAATGAAATAATGGCACAAAGGTAAATAGAAAAGAAGACATAAAATCAGCTGTGGAAGAAAATTTGCTTTGATTTACTTAAATCCTGTTCCCCTATGTTCCTAAGGAACTCTAAGCATCTTTCTTAAGAATCTTACATATCCCAGGTAGATCCAAGAAGGTATTTGCTGCAGTACATTTAGTCTTGCTGTAAAGGAATAACTGAGGCTGGGTAATTTACTTTAAAAGGGGGTTTATTTTGTTCGCAATTCTGCGGGCTCTGCAAGAAGCATAGTACCAGATCTGCATCTTGTGAGAGCTTCAGGCTGCTTCCACTCATGGTGGAAGATGAAAGAAAGCCTGAATGTGCGTAACGAGAGGAGGAAGTGAGACGTAAGAGAGGTGCCAGGCTCTTTTTAACAACCAGCCTTCATAGCAACCAACAGAGCGAGAACTCACTCATTACTTCAAGGATGATACCAAGCTGTTCATGGGGCATTTATCCCCATGAATCAAACATCTCCCATTAGCCCTATTTCCAACATTGGGAACCAAATACAACATTAGATTTGGCAGACAAACATCCAAACCAAAGCAGTACTCGTGTAACATTTAATAGTAATGTTGTGATCATTTGCCATATGCCAAATATTGTGATAAGAAATGGGTATCTTACAAAAACTTTTTGGCTACAAATTTTTACCCATATTTTACAAAGCCAGGAATAAAATTAAGATCTAACTGACACCAAAGTCTATCTTTGCATTCCTACATGTAGACAATACTCTCTACAAAATACTTTGTTAAAAGGAGATAGCATAAACTACTTAATATCCTTAACATTATATCTTTAAGATAATAGATTATTTTCCTCTTCTTTTTGCTTTTGCAATTGTACATGTATATATTTTCTCTTTTAATCAATTAATTGCTATATAGCCTTTGCCTTCTTTTCAAAACATTTTAAAAGAGTATGTTCCTAGAATATTTCCATTTCCTACCAACTAAGAATGACAGGGAGTGAACTAGCCCTCCTTATAGAAGCTACAAAAAATTAGGACAAAATATCTGAAACAACTAATCTCAAGACATCAGGCAAAGAAGGACAGTTCTCTGTGAATGCAAGGAAACAAATAAACTATGCCCTGTATGTATCCAATCGTAATGCCTAGAAAGAGTTTTTAAGCTATAATGAAGGGAGAGGTCATACGGACAGTTCAACAGTCTCACTGAATTGAGGAAACATTACTGGGTGTCCGTGGAGACTAAATTATAAATCTAAGAGTATGAGAAAGGATAAAGCTAAACTGAGAAGTCCCCCTCCAGCTTTGAAATGACTCCATATTTCTGCATTCACGTGAAGAAACTACACAAGGATAAGAGAAGAATCACACAAAAATATTAAAAGAATAATTTCCAAACTTAAGAAAAGACCAACAGTAGTTCCTGTTACCACCAATGAGACTGGAAGAGCAAGTAATTCAGGAAGCATTGATTAGAAAAGTCAGAAGTTTACGTGAGCGATGAAACAAAATTAGCCCTAGACTTAACACTGCTCTTGTCTCATGTAACAAATTTGAAGAGCAAGACCCAGATTCTCATACTACTTACAAATAATTTAATATGCCTCCCAGAAAAAAAGCACCAGATTATTTCTAGGAATAGAAATAGCACCCAAATAAGTAAAGTATTAAGATTTAATTAAAAAACTATAAGATATGCAAATAAGCAAGAAAATATAGCTCATGAATAGAAAAATCAATTGAAATTGACTTTAAATGATGCAGATTAGAAAATCAATAAAAATATAAAAACAGCTGTTATAAAAATGTCTTATATTTAATAAGTTGAAGTTTGAACACATATTAATATTGAAGACATTTAATAAAAACAGAAATTAACTTCTAACAGTAAAACCTCTAATGTTGTGTCCAAAATGAAGAACACACAAGATAGGATAAACAGCAGAACAGACATTGCAGCAGTTAACAGTCATGAACTTGAAGGCATAGCAATAATAGGAACTATTAAAAAAGAAGCACCATGAGAAAAAAGGAGAAAAAAAGAATAGATTATAAGGGAACTGTGAGAAAAATCCAAGTGGCGAAATTTTTGTATAGAGTCCCTAAAGAAGATGTAAAGAAAGGAGGACAGCATAAAAAAAAAAAAGTGAAAAATAATGACTGAAACATTTTCAAAATCAGGTAAAAACCATAAATCCAAATATCAAAACAGCTTCAGTGAAAACTAAGTCTGAACTCATGGAAACAATTTCATTAACAACACCATAATAAAATTACTAAAAACAAGTGATTATGAGAAAAATGATAAAATCAGCCAGAAAAAAATACAGCTTTGCCTTCATTTCAAATTCTTTTTAAAAGAATATGTTACAAGAATATTTCTATTTCCACCACTTCTATGCAACATAACAATGGAATTCCTAGCAAAAGCAATTAGGAAAGATAAAGAATGAAAGGCATTCAAACTGGAAAGAAGGAAGCCGAATTGTCTCTTTTGCAGATGACATGATCTTATAGTAGAAAATCCTGAAGACATCACAATAACTGTTAGAATTAATAAACAGATTCAACAAAGTTGCAGGATACAAAATCAGTGTACAAACATCAGTAGCATTTCTACATGATTAATAGGAACTATCTGAAAACGAAATCAAGAAAAGAATCCCATTCACAAGAGGTATAAATATTAAGACACCTAGGAATAAATTTAATGAAAAAAATGAAAGATCTTTTCACTGAAAACTATAAAACATTTGTGAAAGAAACTGATATTCCATGTTCATAGATTGGATGAATTAACATTGTTAAAAATCATACTTTCTAAAGTGATCTATGGATTTAGTGCAATTCCTTTCAAAATATGAATGATTTTCTTCAAAGAAATAGAAAAACAATACTAAATGTCATATGGAACCACAAAAGTCACCAAATAACCAAAGCGATACTGAGGAAAAAAAGAACAAAGCTGAAGGCATCATACTCCCTGGCCTCAAAAATATACTACAAAGCTAACCAAGCAACACAGAGCTGGTATAAAAACAGACACATGGAACAATGGAAAAGGATAGAGAACCCAGAAATAAATCCACACATCAAGAGCCAACTGATTTTTTTACAAAGTGCCAAAACACATTGGAAAAAGAACCATCTCTTCAATAAATGGTGCTGGGAAATTGGATACCCACATGCAGAAGAATGAGACTAGAAACCTCTGTCTCACTATATTAAAAATAATCAAGAGAGAAACTCCATCTCAAAAAAAAAAATAATGATCAACCAAAAAGTGGATTAAAGACAAACGTAGGGCACAAAACAATGACACTAGTATAAGAAAACATGGGGGAATACTTAATGACAATGGACTAGGCAAGAACTTTTTTTAAAGACCTCAAAAACTTGGACAACGAAAGCAAAAATAGGCAACAAAACTAAAATACTCACATCAAACTAAAAAGCTTCTGCACAGCAAAGAAAACAATCAACAAATTGAGGAGACAATCTACAAAATGGGAGAAAATATTTGTAAAGTATACATCCGACAAAAGTTTAATATCCAGAATATACAGGAATCCAAACAACTCAATAGCAAAATAAAAAGAAAACAATTTAATTTTTTAAATGGGCTAAAGACCTACGTAGACACTTCTCAAAAGACAACAAATAGCCAATGGGTATATGAAAAAATTTTCAACATCACTAGTCATTAGAGAAATCAAATAAACACTGCAACGAGGTATTACCTCACCAATTAGAATAGCTATCGAAAAGACAAAAAATAACAAGTATTGGCAAGGACGTAAAGAATAAGGAACCCTTATATACTCTTGGTGGGAATATAAATTAGTAGAACCATTGTGGAAAACAGCATGAAGGTTCCTCAAAAATTAAAAACAGACCTACTACGTGATCCAGTAATCCCACTACTGAGTATATCTAAAGGAAATGAAATTGGTGTGTCAGAGATATCTGCACTCCTATGTTTATTGAAGGACTATTCACAATAGTCAAAATATGAAATCAACCTATGTGTTCAACAATTAATGAATGGATAAAGAAAATGTGGGATGGAATGAAATCCTATGAAATACTAATGACATGGTATAGAATGCTAAGGAATAAAACAGAATACTATTCAGCCATAAAAAAATTAATGAAATTTTGCTATCTGTGAAAAACATGGATGAACCTGGAGGACATTATATTGTGACACAAGTCAGAACAGAAAGACAAATACTGGATGATCAAACTCATATACGGAATCTAAAAAAGTTGATTTCATCAAAGTAGAAAATAGAGCAGTGGTTATTAGAGACTGGGAAGGTATGGAGAGGAAGGATGGCAAGAGGTTAGTCAACGGGTACAAAGTTACAATTGGAAGAGATAAATTCTGGTGTTCTATTGCATGGTATTGTGATTATAGTAAATAATGTATATTTCAAAATAACTAGAAGGATTTTTAATGTTCTCACCACAAAATGATAAATGATTGAGGTGATAGATATGCTAATTACTCTGATTTGATCCATTCACAATATACATGTATCAAAACAGGCCACTGTACCCCATAAATGTGTACAATTATTATGTGCCTATTACAAATTTTTAAATGGAAACAGGGTTTTCAGCATAGCCATTTAAAAAATGTATTATATAAGTAAATTTATAAATTAATAAAAATAATTATTTATCTAAAAAAATTCAGAGGCTGAAATAATTCATCACCAGCAAATGCAAAGTGCAAGAAATGTTAGACCACATCTTTACAGAAGAAAGAAAATGATCTGAGTGGAAATCAATATCCACACAAAATAATGAAAAGAACCAGAAATGGTAACTACATGGGTAAAATATATATTCTTTATATTATCAAAGGTCCAAAAGAGAATTTACAGTTTAAAACAAAGATAAAAGTAATGTGTTGCAGAGTTTATTTCACATGCATAATTTATGAAAATAATAGAACAGAGGACAAGAGGAAAGAGAAATGATACTGTTTCAAGGTTATACTATACATCAACTTGTATATCACTTGAAGATAAATTACAATAAGATACATTTTATCAATCCTAGTGCACACACTAAATATTAGAAAGAGTTAAAATTTAGAAAGTGAAAAAAAGAAATAACTTGTAATCATAACAAAGAAACAGTGTTGGTGTCCCTGATTTTCTGTTTTATTGATTCCCACTCATTTGTCATCTCCTTTCTTTTACTAATGTTTGCATTAATTTGCTCTCCCTCTACTAGTATTTACGGTGGATATTCTGTGGTAATTGACTTGAGATCATTCTTCATTTCTTATGTAGGTATTTAGTGCATTAAATTTACCTCTAAATACAGCTTTATTTGATTGCGATGTACTTGATATATATTTACATTTTTATTTATTCCAAAGCACCTTAAAATATCTCTTTTGTTTCTTCCTTGACCCATGAATTATTCAGATGTATTCTATGTATGTTCCAAATATTGGGAGATTTTTGAGATATACCTCTGCTATTGAATTCTAATTTAATCCCATTAGGGTTAAGGAGCAATCCTAAGATAGTTTAAATACACTTAAATGCGTTCAAACTTATTTTATGGCTCTAATATGATCTATTTTAAAATATGTTTCCTGTATACATGAAAAGATTGTGGATTCAGTTGTGGGATGTAGTGTTTCATATTGACAATTAGAACACTTTTGGTCAGTTGGGTCAATTTCACCGATAGTGTTGTTCAGTGCCTCAATAAATCCGATGACTACCTTCTGACAACTTGTCCTATCTATTCTTGAGAGAAATGTATTGAAATCTCTGTCTAGATTTGTAGTTGTCTATTTCTCCTTAAAGTTCTATCTGTTTTTGCTTATTTTTATTGGTTCCTTGCAAACATCAAACAAATTTCTAAACCAGACTATCCGGAAAGAAAGAAAGAATTAACCAATTAGAAACATCAATAGTGAGAGAGGTAGCAACAATACAGATTTATTTCATGGATAAAAAAATAAAGTATTAATTGTTCTATTTTTGTTGAGATCTAAAGTTAGATTGTTTATTTGAAATCTTAATTTTTTTACTTGTTTATTGGTATAAACTCTCTGGGAACACCTTTTGCTGCATGTCGTAAATTATGCTGTGTTTTCATTTTTGTCTCAAGATACTTACCTTTTGATTTTTTATTTGATGCATTGTTTTTTAGGAGCATGTTTAATAATTTCCAAATATTCATACATTTTCCAGTTTTTCTCCTGTTATTTCTAGTGTCACATCATTGTGACCAAGGACAATATGTGATATGAGTTCATTCTTCTTAAATTTTTTAAGACTTCTTTTGGGTCTAACATATGATCTATCTTGGAAAATGTTTCACGTGCACTTGAGAAGAATGTGTATCTGTTGGATGGGATGTTCTGTACATGTCTGTTAGGTCCATTTGACCTAAAGTATACTTCAATTTCAATGTTCCTTACAGATTTTCTATCTCAATGCTGTAACATAGAACATCCCCCAAAAATTAAGAAAATAATTCCATTTAAAATAGCAACAGAAAAGAAATAAAATACTTACAAATAAATTTAACCAAGGAGGTGAAAAATGTGTACTCTGAAAACTACAAAACATTGATGAAACAAATTGAAAAAATACATTAATGGAAAAATATTTTATGTTCATGGATCAGAAGAATCAATACTTTCAAAATGCCCATACAACCAAAAATGATCTATTGTCAATCAGATTTTCTTACTTTCTTTTCCAGATGGCTTGTTAACATACAGAATTACTACTGATTTTTATATATTGTATACTGCAACTTTATTGAATTTGTTTCCCAGTTCTAACATGTATTTGGTGGCATTTTAGAGTTTTCTATGTATAAAATTATGTCATCAGCAAACAGAAAATTTCGCTTCTTTCCCGCCTATTTGGATATCTTTTATTTCTTTTTCTTGCCTAAGAGTTCTGGCTAGGATTTCCATTATGGCTAGGATTTCCACTACTATGTTGAGTAAAAGTTGCAAAAGTAGGCATCCTTGTCTGATTCCCAATCTTAGAGGGAAAGCTTTCAACTTTTTACCATTGTGCATAATGTTAACTGTGTATTTGTCATATAGGACTTCGTTTTGAAATATATTTCTTCTATGCCTAATTTGTTGAGTTTTTATTGTAAAGCAATGTCAAATTTGTCAAATGTTTTCTTTTGCATTCATCGAGATAATCACATGATTTTATCCTTAATTTTATTGTAGTATGCCACATTTATTAATTTGTGTATGTTAAAGTATCCTCACATCCCAGGGATAAATCCTACTTTATCATGGCAAATTATCCATTTCATGTAGTATTGAATTTGGTTTGCCGGAGTTTTTTTTTCTTAAGATTATTGCATTCATGTTCATCAGTAATACTGGCTCACTGTACTCTTCTTTTAGTATTTGATCCCAAAGTACAGTCAACAAAATAAAAAATTAAAAAATGGGATACATCAAACTAAAAAGCTTCTGAATAGCATAAGAAACAACTACCAGAGTGAAGAAACAACCTATGTGTCAGAAGAAAATGTGTAACAATACATTTGATAAGGAGTTACTATCCAAAATACATAAGGAATTCAAATAACTGAATAGCAAGAAAATAAATGAGCTGATTAAAATTTGGGCAAAGAACCTGAATAAATATTTATCAAAAAAAAAGACATAGAAATGGCCAACTGATATAAGGAAAGATGTTCAACATCACAGTTATTAGGGAATTACAAATTAAAACCACAATGAGATATCAATGTGAAAAAAAGGAACTCTTATATGCTGTTGGTTGGAATGTTAATTAGTACTGTCACTACAGAAAACAGCGTAGAGGTTGCCCAAAAAACTGAAAATAGTATTACCATATGATCCAGCAATCTCACTTTGGGGTATAGATCCAAAGTAACTGAAGTCAAAATGTCAAAAAGATAACTATTCTCATATTCACTGCAGCATTACTCACAAGAGCCAAGGTATGTAATCATTGTAATCATCCTAAGTATCCATCAATGATGAATGGATAAAGACAATTAGGTAAATATATAAACAAGAATAAAATAATTATGCTAACAAAAGAAACTAGACAAAAAGAGTATACTACAATCTAGAAAATGCGCACTAGGCTGGGCGCGGTGGCTCATGCCTGTAATCCCAGCACTTTGGGAGGCCGAGACGGGCGGATCACGAGGTCAGGAGATCAAGACCATCCTGGCTAACATGGTGAAACCCCATCTCTACTAAAAATACAAAAAAATTAGCCACGTATGGTGGCGGGCGCCTGTAGTCCCAGCTACTAGGGAGGCTGAGGCAGGAGAATGGCATGAACCCGGGAGGCAGAGATTGCAATGAGCTGAGATCCCACCCCTGCACTGCAGCATGGGCGACACAGCGAGACTCCATCGCAAAAAAAAAAAAAAAAAGAAGAAGAAAATGAGTACTAAACTTTCATGACTGAAAAGAGATGAATAGTTACCTAGGGTAGTATGTGTGGTAGAGGGAGATATTCAAAGGTGTATGAGGAGACTTTTGGGGTGATGAATATATAATTATCTTAATTTTGGTGATGGTTTCCACACGCGCAGACGTGTGTGTGATAGATGATGTGTGTCAAAGCTTATCAAATTGTACAGTTTAAACATGTGCAATATATTTTATATTAATTATATATCAATAATTTAATTTTTAAAAAGAAAAATTAGGATTCAGGCTGTTTTAACAAAATTGATAACAATTTTAAAACATTTAAACCATCAAATTGCTTTCCAAATGAATTGAAGACATTTAGATTCCTATCTAAAGCTTTTTTCCAGTTTCATGTTTGAATCAACAGCATTTTTAAAGATAATCATTAAATATCACATTATTGCAATTTGAGTATTTAGATTATTTTAAATAACTACTGACTGTTGTTCTTCCAGAATAAACCGTAGCCAATAATCTCAAAGCCAACCAAATGACTCCATTTCTAATCCAAATGAGTAGGACTTGAAGGGCCGCTTCTCTGATATGTAGAATACCTACTCCCCTATTACGATCCAGAATAAAAGTCATCAACTTCAACCTACTACAATTGTAAATTTTCATAAAAATAAATGTTTGTGCTCCAAATACCTTTAAAATAGGATATAATAATATATTTGTTAAAGCACATTCTGATGGTGAAGAGAGGAATTCCAGGCATCGAAGTTTTTCCTGCTTACCCCTCAAGTTATTAAAATAATCCACTCCATTTCACCACTTGATTTTAGGAGGCATAGCATGGAAAATATATCATCCTCACACAAAATGCTCTCAGTAAGCTTCATATTAGTAGAAAATTGAGCTTTCTCTATGAACAATCTTCCTGAGTCTTTTATACTCTTAAACAAAAATTTTAAAACTGAAATTTGCACAGTAGACATTAAGCATAAGCTAAGCACTTGTGCTTATAAAATATAAGGCTCAGTTCACTGAGTTGTAATCAAATTTAATCAGACAGAATTTCCTAACCATCATAGATGATATTGGTCATCATCCTAAGTAACAAATTGGGGGAAAAAAATCTAATGTACTCTAATTCTTTAATTAAAAAATAAAATTAGATTTAGGGAGTACATGTGCTTGTTACCTGGGTATTATATGTGTAATAGTGGAATTTGATTTCTAGTGTGCCTATCACCCAAATTTTGAACTTTATATCCCATAGGTGATTTTTCATCTCTCAGCCTCTTCCAACCCTCTCCCCTTTTGGAGTCCCCAGGGTCTATTTTCCTCATCTTTATGACCACGTATACCCATCTGATATGGTTTGGATTTCTGTCCCTGCCCAAATCTCAAGTCAAATTGGAGAAGGAGACTGGTGGGAGGTGATTGGATTGTGGGTCAGATTCCCTCCTTGGTCTTCTCATGACAGTGAGTTCTCACAAGATCTAATGGTTTAGAAGTGTGTGGTACTTCCACCTTCGCTCTCTCTCTCTCCTGCCACCATGTGAAGAAGGTCCTTTCTTCCTTTTTACCTTTCAACTGATTGTAAGATTCCTGAGGCCTCCCAGTCATGCTTCCTGTTAAGCCTGTGGAACTGTAAGTAAATTAAACCTTTTTTCTTCATAAATTACCCAATCTCAGGTAGTTCTTTAAAGCAGTGTGAAAACGGACTAATATGCCATCATTCAGCTCCGACTTACAAGTGAAAATATGTGATATTTTATTTTCTGCTTCTGAGTTCTTTTACTTCAAATAATGACCCCCAGCTCCATCCATGTTGTGGGCATTTACCCAAAGGAAAATAAATCATTATATAAAAATGACACCAGCACATATTTATTGCAGCACAGTTTACAATAACAAAGTCATGGAAACAACCCAAATGTCCACCAACAGTTGACTGGATAAAGAAAACGTGGTATGTACACCTCATAGAATACTATGCAGCCATAAAAATGAACATGAGCTACTAGCATTTTAAGAGATCCCTTGATCAAGGCTGAAGAGAATAGTGATCTCCTCCTTCTCAACATTGCTTCTTGACTTTTCTCCCTGCTGAAATCTTCCTTTGCTTTTGTCATATCTATTTCATTTGGCCTACATTAGTGTACTCTTTACTTCATTATGTTACATTAGTGTCTCATTACATAATCAATAATATAATCCACAAGCTTCTTTTTCTAAAGAATGAAGGCCAAATAATTATCCTAAGTCACCATCTTAAAGATTTTACCTTGTCTACCATTTTGAAAGCTGTATAGTACCATCTTTCTACCTGGATATTTATGTGGATATCATACCCATAAGTTCTTTCTACTTCTGGAATAATTCCTCTCACTTTTGTCCAGAATTATCCCTTCTTATCTAATTATTTTGAAATATATGTATATATAATATATAAACTTTATAGATTTATATATGTAGCTTATAGATGCATATGTTTGTGTGTGCACGTGTGTATATGTTTATATAAACATATAAAAAGAAAAAAACTGTTTTCAATGAAAGTTAACATTGCCCTCTTCTTTGATTACTGATTATATTATTTAAACAAATAAATGTTGAGATTATTTTTCACTTACATATTTGGTCCCTAGTTATGTCATAATGATCATATATTATCATATATTATGTCATATAAGGTCTTTACATATAAACTCCACATTTTATATAAGTGTGTAGAACAGTACATTTTTCTTGCACTCCCACTGTTGATTTAGCTTAGTTTTTAGTTTAAGCAGCTTGCCTAATGGAATTTTTGATTGGCAAAGAGGTGCTACAGTTTTTCTTCTGTTGATATGTGGACAACAGCTGGTCAACTTCAGACAGTTGAAACTACATGATAATGTTTCAGTTGTGGATATGCTGGCAAATGATAACTAAATTACAATATGTTTGCAACAACTGTCCCTTTGAACACCATGATAGGGCATTTTATTTACATGATTCATAGCTCATACAGGTCAACAACTAGATCACTTGTGTCACTCAATACTGAAGCAAAGATTTTCCTTGAATGTCTTCTTAGCCAACCTAAACTTTCACAGATCTCATTTGACTCCTCTACTAACAGTCCAGTGCGTAAAAATACCCAAGCTTATTTGATTAATGTGATAAATCATAATGGTTTAGCGCAAAAGGACTTTAAAGATTATTTCCTTTATCTTCTTATTTTAGGTATAAAAAGGCCCAGAAATACTAACAGACTATCACATTATTTTTTTCAAAAAGGAAAATTTGTCAAGTCCATAAAAATGAACAAATCTTGATTTTTGGTCTAGTGTTTTGCTTTCTATTGCACATTATTAAGTTACCCAAAGTGAAATATTCAAATGTATTAATAAAATTAACTCCAGAATTGATCTACTTATTAAAATTATATTCTTACTGAGTCATACATTTATTTCAGAAAAGCTGATGCAATTCTGGATATAGTGAGGAAAACAAAGCCATCTCATTGCTGAAAAAGATTCTGTTCCTGCACTCTGGAGAAAGATTTGGCATGTTATGGAGATGACAATAAATATTTTTATCATGAAAGAGCTCATGGCCAGGCATGGCGGTTCACACCTGTAATCCCAGCAGTTTGGGAGGCTAAGCCAGGCGGATCACTTGAAGTCAGGCATTCAAGACCAACCTGGCGAACATGGTGAAATGGCGTTTCTACTAAAAATACAAAAATTAGCTTGCCATGGTGGTGCATGCCTGTAATCCCAGCTACTCCAGAGGCTGAGGCAGGAGAATCACTTGAACCCAGGAAGCGGAGGTTGCAATGAGTTGAGATCGGGCCACTGCACTCCAGCCTGGGTGACAGAGCCAGACTCCATCTCAAAAAAAAAGGAGTTCATGCGGCTCAACAATCACATGCAGTTATTAATGTTTTCATTTGGGTCAACAAAATTAAGATGCACAAAAGTGTTGCAGTGAATTATCTGTTGAAAAAAAAAAGATTTAAAGATCCTGAATTTTGGTTTTTTGAAATGACAGCCAATTAAAAAGTTGTAGCAGCAATATCCCTGATGAACATCGATGCCAAAATCCTCAATAAAATACTGGCAAACCGAATCCAGCAACACATCAAAAAGCTTATCCACCATGATCAAGTGGGCTTCATCCCTGGGATGCAAGGCTGGTTCAACATACGCAAATCAATAAACGTAATCCAGCATATAAACAGAACCAACGACAAAAACCACATGATTATGTCAAAAGATTCAGAAAATGCCTTTGACAAAATTCAACAACCCTTCATGCTAAAAACTTTCAATAAATTAGGTATTGATGGTATGTATCTCAAAATAATAAGAGCTATCTATGACAAACCCACAGCCAATATCATACTGAATGGGCAAAAACTGGAAGCATTCCCTTTGAAAACTGGCACAAGACAGGGATGTCCTCTTTCACCACTCCTATTCAACATAGCGTTGGAAGTTCTGACCAGGGCAATCAGGCAGGAGAAGGAAATAAAGGGTATTCAATTAGGAAAAGAGGAAGTCAAATTGTCCCTGTTTGCAGATGACATGATATCTAGAAAACCCCATCATCTCAGCCCAAAATCTCCGTAAGCTGATAAGCAACTTCAGTAAAGTCTCAGGATACAAAATCAATGTGCAAAAATCACAAACATTCTTATACACCAATAACAGACAAACAGAGAGCCAAATCATGAGTGAACTCCCATTCACAATTGCTTCCAAGAGAATAAAATACCAAGGAATCCAACTTACAAGGGACGTGAAGGACCTCTTCAAGGAGAACTACAAACCACTGCTCAATGAAATGAAAGAGGATACAAACAAATGGAAGAACACTCCATGCTCATGGGTAGGAAGAATCAATATCGTGAAAATGGCCATACTGCCCAAGGTTACTTATAGGTTTAATGCCATCCCCATCAAGCTACCAATGACTTTCTTCACAGAATTGGAAAAAACTACTTTAAAGTTTGTATGGAACCAAAGAAGAGCCTGCATTGCCAAGTCAATCCTAAGCCAAAAGAACAAAGCTGGATGCAACACGCTACCTGACTTCAAACTATACTACAAGTCTACAGTAACCAAAACAGCATGGTACTAGTACCAAAACGGAGATATAGACCAATAGAACAGAACAGGGCCTTCAGAAATAATGCCACACATCTACAACTATCTGATCTTTGACAAACCTGACAAAAACAAGAAAGGGGGAAAGGATTCCCTACTTCATAAGTGGTGCTGGGAAAACTGGCTAGCCATATGTAGAAAGCTGAAACTGGATCCCTTCGTTACACCTTATACAAACATTAATTCAAGATGGATTAAAGACTTAAATGTTAGACCTAAAACCATAAAAACTCTAGAAGAAAACCTAGGCAATACCATTCAGGACATAGGCATGGGCAAGGACTTCATGTCTAAAACACCAAAAGCAATGGCAACAAAAGCCAAAATTGACAAATGGGATCTACTTAAACGAAAGAGTTTCTGCAAAGCAAAACAAACTACCATCAGAGTGAACAGGCAACCTACAGAATGGGAGAAAATTTTTGCAATCTACTCATCTGACAAAGGGCTAATATCCAGAATCTACAAAGAACTCAAACAAATTTACAAGAAAAAAACAAACAACCCCATCAAAAAGTGGGTGAAGGATATGAACAGACACTTCTCAAAAGAAGACATTTATGCAGCCAAAACACACATGAAAAAATGCTCATCATCACTGGCCATCAGAGAAATGCAAATCACAACCACAATGAGATACCATCTCAAACCAGTTAGAATGGCGATCATTAAAAAGTCAGGAAGCAACAGGTGCTGGAGAGGATGTGGAGAAATAGGAACAGTTTTACACTGTTGGTGGGACTGTAAACTAGTTCAACCCTTGTGGAAGTCAGTGTGGCGATTCCTCAGGGATCTAGAACTAGAAATACCATTTGACCCAGCCATCCCATTACTGGGTATATACCCAAAGGATTATAAATCATGCTGCTATAAAGACACATGCACACGTATGTTTATTGCTGCACTATTCACAATAGCAAAGACTTGGAACCAATCCAAATGTCCATCAATGATAGGCTGGATTAAGAAAATGTGGCACATATACACCATGGAATACTATGCAGCCATAAAAAAGGATGAGTTCATGTCCTTTGTAGGGACATGGTTGAAGCTGGAAACCATCATTCTCAGCAAACTATCGCAAGGACAAAAAACCAAACACCGCATGTTCTCACTCATAGGTGGGAATTGAACAATGAGAACACATAGACACAGGAAGGGGAACATCACACACTGGGGTCTGTTGTGGGGTTGGGGGAGGGAGGAGGGATAGCATTAGGAGATATACCTAAAGTTAAATGACGTGTTAATGGGTGCAGCACACCAACATGGCACATGTATACATATGTAACAAACCTGCACATGTACCCTAAAACTTAAAGTATAAAAAAAAAATTAAAAAGTCGTAGCAGCTTCAGGAGGCAACAACGAGAATGATCTGGGTCGGTCATTATATTAGCATTTATTTATTTAAGTATTTTAGGTTACCACAAACTTATAATTCACAATTCAATTAATTAAGTTCAGGTCTTTGTTTCCCTTTTTAAACGAAATAAAGATTCTCCTTATATACATATTGTAAAGAAGTTAAGAATTCCATGTTTGATCAAACCTTCGCTCATTAGTGTATGTTTTTGGTTTTCTGTTTTTACCTTAATCCTAATAAAGCACTGTCCTTGAACCCAAAATCGTAACCTCAGTGTTTGACATTAAGAGCCTTAACATTTTACAAATGACTAAAAATTAGTGCCTTGCCCAAGTTCACAAAAAAGTTTGAAGGTGCAACTAGCCCCTAAATTTTCTAGCCCTGAATCCAGTTTTACTTCCACTATATTACGTTGTATCTACCAATTGGAGTAAGGAATTTAAACAGTACTTCGTTTTACTGTCATTGCCATCAAGAGTTGATATTCTTTGGAGATATTTTGCATAAAGCCTACTTCAATTATTTAAATATAAACTTAAGAAAAAACATTTTACCCCATTTAAATCTATATTGTTCATCTGTTTTAGCTTTAAAGCAGCCAGCAGGGAATGCAAACCAAGCCATCTGAAGCCTGGACAAGTTCCTGAACGGAGCTCAGTGCTGTCTCCTTCTGAAACAATCATAAACATTTACATTTTGGAAATGGTTGAAGCCTTAGGAAAAAAATGAAACGATAATGATCTGTTGTTGCTGATAGAGAGTCTAACGATACATAATAGTAATCATGACAACAATAATAATGATAAATCCTGATCAGATGATGAGGCAGAAACAGAAAGCAATGGGTTTTGGATGAAAAAATGGGACAGAAAGCATTCTAAGGAACACAGGTGCTCTTGGCTTCAGTCTGTTTTCTAGGCCTTTATAGAAACATCAAGTGAAAAGTGACAGATGCTGCCTCCTTCCTGCTGCTTTTGAAAACTTACTTTTCTCTATTTCAGAATGAAGAGCTTGAGTTCTTGTACTTTCTAAATGGAATCCTTATGTCAAACTTTAACATAAAACTCTAGAGAAACCACCATGAATGTGAAACTACCATACTGAGTAGAGGTCGTTTTCTTCTGTTGTTCCCTTTATGTTTATTTCTAATCTTATCATAAAACCTTACTAATGCTCTTTGGAACTTGTTTGTTTTGCTAGTTTATATTTTGCTACTTCACATGGGCTTTTTAATTTCCATTAAAATGCATATTCATATCACGCTTAGTCTCACTTTTGTCTCTGATCCTTCACCATGATGATCCCGGCAACCTGATGAGTTTGCTGGCCATCCAATACATCTTTGTGCGTTGCTTAAAACACCTGCTGTAGTAAGTATACTTTTGCCATTCTACATATATCTGATATTGAGATTAACCGTGTTCTATATTTTAGACTAATATTTATTGTCCACTAGCCTATAAATTTCTGAGAAGTATGCAGCCTAAGAATAACTTTTTGTAACTTTAGAAGAACTATGCAACTACAAACTAAACTTCTACCAATGGTTCATTAGTGATACTTTGACATATAGAGTGTCTTTCAACTGGAAGTCATCTTCAACCTGCTCAGACTACTCACATGTGACACTAAGAAGGATCAAGGAAAATGATTTTCTTTTTTATTTTATTAAGTTTTTTCAGAGGATAGGGGAACATTATAACAACTACACAACATACCAAGAAAAGGAACTTGAGGACTTGTTAAGGAATATTAAAAGACTATCTATGCAAATCATGAAACGCTTCAGTGTTCACTAATCCATCATTGCAGAAATACTAAATGAAGGTTGGATTAAATGCTATGCAAGAAAATTAAGTTATCCTTGTCCCAATACAAAAAAAAATTAAAAACAGATGGGAAAATCTTAGAATTCCATTTAACTGGAAAGAATTTGAAAGCACAGTGGACTTCCAAGGAAAGGCAAATAAATCTGATGAACATGTGGCAATTACATAACTCTGAATCAGACTCATTCTTCAGTGGACTGAAAAGACTAAAAATGATGGAGCCAGGATTTTGGAAAGATGATTGGATAGAAACAGAAATATTATTTCCAATAATACCGATATTTTGCTAAAACAATCATTGAAAGGAAACATAATTTTTAGCAAAAACCAACCAACAAAATATAATCCTCTAAAGTTTATTTTGAACAATTCTAGGGAGATTGTTTCTGTTACTCTCTCTTCCCATTTCAATCTTCAGACTTTCCCTTTAGTGTTAGATGGTTACTTCTTAGTTGGTTAACCTCACTGAAAATGAGATAGAGGAACTACAATTTTATTCAGGGTTCTTTATGTCTTTACAGATGAAAACTGCAAGCAACCAAGCAACTGGAGGTTAATGTTAGCTCTCCCATATAGCTTGTCCCTTACATCCAGCACACTGTAGATCTCTTTATGTTGCAAAATGTTAAATGTTATAAGTTTTGACACTAGCCCTGTACACATCTCTAAAATAACACTATTAAACCAAACTCAATATTCAGTCAATGTAAGGAAAAAAAAATAGGGCTTATTAAAAAGTGCTGCAGGCTTAAAAAAAAAAAAAAGATGGGAGTGTATGTTCATTGGAAGGAAACACACAAGTATTTCCATTAAAATGGCTATATAATAAATGTGAATAAGTTATATAATGTCTCCGTGAAACTGCCAAAAGGAAGCTAGGTATTAATGTTAACTAAATGAGAAAATAAAGAGTGAAATAACTATAATAGAGCAACACCTACTATGACTGAAAGGAGTAATATGTAGAGTCAACTTTGTAAATATTCAAGATACAGATGACAGATGAGGGAGGTTCACTAACAATGAGAAAATAAAGTGTGATATAATGAGTGGTGAATAATGGAATAGAGAACTATAGCTCTTCAATTATGACAATTTTTAAAGGCGAAAACAGGAAAACCAGCAACGGCAAATTATAGATAGAAAAGAAAAAAACATGCATGTAAGATTGAGAGTGGAAAGGCCTGATCATTAGATGCTAAAATTAATAAGCAGAGATGAATAACAATTCATATGCATAAAAATATTTATTCAAGATAAATATTTCAACAATTCAAGGAAGAGGAAATGTTAATTTTACCAAAGGTAGAATCATACTAGCTTTAGATTTATCATCTAAAAAATTAAATGCCAGATGAAATAAAGTAGAGTTCAGAAGAAGATGCACTTCAAAAATTTACTTGAGTCATCTCTGATTTTCATCCATAGATTTTTAAAGAAACACTTCTATTTTAGTATATAAATTACATAGTTAATCAAATCCAACATTACATTCTTGAAAATTTGACGAGACAACATTTTTCAAGGGAAAATTTCGTCTAGCATTAAAATATTGAATTTTTAATTTGGGTTACCCAAATTTTTTCCTCAGTATCTACAGTTTCTGTAAGAAACAAACAAATGAACAAATAAAACAATTGTTTTTCTGCCTGTAACTCATTAATGACATAAAATCTAATAACCCTAATGATCAAATGTAATTATAATTTTTGAGAGCTGGAACAGAAGTGACTTATTTTCAGACAGATTTTTATTTCAATATCCTTGTGTTGAAGTCAATATGCAACCAGATAAATAACCTAGCAGTAGTTACATTTCACCCTTGCTAAACCTGGCTAAAGTTGAGCTTTGTTTCTGGTTTATGAGTCTTCTACCTATAGATGAAGTTATTTTGCCAGTAACTAACATCTGCAAAGTCAATTATAATTTGGAAAGAGAAAATGTAGCTGGCATATTACACAAGAATGAGGATGCTTGGAAATAAAAATAATTTTATGGCAACATGTTGCAAAATAATAAAAATTACTCTGATTTAAGAGAAAAAACGGTTTAATTTTTAATTTCCAAATAATGATTTAATAAAATTACCTGATAATGTGGCAATGTATCTCATTAGAAATTTTATTTTATAGCCAGAAATAGATGTTTGAGAGTTCAGTTGAATAGAGAGTTGGCAAATAATTATTATTTTTGGTTCATTAAGTTACATTGGAAACACAAAGCATCCTTATAATAAAATGTTATAAACTATATTAATAAATCTTAGAAATATCATTAGATAATATCTAATGTTGCCATGCATGTAAAAAAAAAACTAGCATGGGTATAAAATGTTAAACAGTCATTCTTATATTTAAAATAAGTTGACATGGGGAAAAAATTCCCTATTTAATAAATGGTGCTGGGAAAACTGGCTAGCCATATGTAGAAAGCTGAAACTGGATCCCTTCCTTACACCTTATACAAAAATTAATTCAAGATGGATTAAAGACTTAGAAGTTAGACCTAAAACCATAAAAACCCTAGAAGAAACCTAGGCAATACCATTCAGGACATAGGCATGGGCAAGGACTTCATTTCTAAAACACCGAAACCAATGGCAACAAAAGCCAAAATTGACAAATGGGATCTAATTAAACTAAAGAGCTTCTGCACAGCAAAAGAAACTACCATCAGAGTGAACAGGCAACCTACAGAATGGGAGAAAATTTTTGCAATCTACTCATCTGACAAAGGGCTAATATCCAGAATCTACAATGAACCCAAACAAACTTACAAGAAAAAAACCCCATCAACAAGTGGGCAAAGGATATGAACAGACACTCCTCAAAAGGAGACATTTATGCAGCCAAAAGACACATGAAAAAATGCTCATCATCACTGGCCATCAGAGAAATGCAAATCAAAACAACAATGAGATACCATCTCACACCAGTTAGAATGGTGATCATTAAAAAGTCAGGAAACAACAGGTTCTGGAGAGGATGTGGAGACATAGGAGCACTTTTACACTGTTGGTGGGACTGTAAACGAGTTCCACCATTGTGGAAGTCAGTGTGGCGATTCCTCAGGAATCTACAACTAGAAATACCATCTGACCCAGCCATCCCATTACTGGGTATATACCCAAAGGACTATAAATCATGCTGCTATAAAGACACATGCACATGTATGTTTACTGCGGCACTATTCACAATAGCAAAGACTTGGAACCAACCTGAATGTCCATCAATGATAGACTGGATTAAGAAAATGTGGCACATACACACCATGGAATACTATGCAGCCATAAAAAATGATGAGTTCATGTCCTTTGTAGGGACGTGGATGAAGCTGGAAACCATCATTCTCAGCAAAATATCGCAAGGACAAAAAATCAAACACCACAGGTTCTCACTCACAGGTGGGAATTGAACAATGAGAATACACGGACACAGGAAGGGGAACATCACACACTGGGGTCTGTGGTAGGATTGGGGGAGAGGGGAGGGACAGCATTAGGAGATATACCTAATGTTAAATGACGAGTTAATGGGTGCAGCATACCAACGTGGCACATGTATACACATGTAACAAACCTGCACGTTGTGCACATATACCCTGAAACTTAAAGCATAATAAAAGAATGAATAAAATAAAAAATAAAATAAAATGAAATAAGTTGACAATATGCAGCAGCAGGCTTAAAAGGTTGGAAGCTAGTTGGCATGGTAATTCATTAAGAGTTTTCCTATGGGAATAACAGGAAAAAGGCATAAGTCTATATATAATATATATGTTATATATAATATATATTATGTGTTATATGTTATATATACTATATATTATATGTTATATATAATATGTTACATATTATAATATATGTTATATATATTATATGTAACATATAATATATAGTATATGTAACATATAAAATATAGTATATGTAACATAATATATATAATGTTATATATAATATATACATATATACATATATGTTAATATATGTATATATTATATATAAAATATTTATAAATATATTATATATATTTAATACATAATATTTAATATATTAAATATATATATTTAATAATTAATATATGTGTAAATATACATATTAAATAATATATAATATTAATATATAATTATAATTTATATATTACATATTATATCTATTATTACATATGATAATATATAATTATATATTAATATAATATTAAATATATATGTATAAATATAGAATATATATTATATATATCATATATTATATATTTTATATATTATATATATTTTATATAATATATATTATATTATATTATATATAATATATATTATATATTCTATATATAATATATATTATATAATATATAAATATATAATATATAATATATATAATATATAAAATATATAATAAATATATATTATATATAAAATATATAATATATAATATATAGTATATATAAAATATATAATAAATAGTATATAGTATATATAAAATATATAATAAATAGTATATAGTATATATAAAATATATAATAAATAGTATATAGTATATATAAAATATATAATATATAATATATAGTATATATAAAATATATAATATATAATATATAGTATATATAAAATATATACTATATAATATATAGTATATATAAAATATATAATATATAATATATAGTATATATAAAATATATAATATATATAAAATATTTATAAATATAAAATATATTAGAAATATATTTATTATATATCATTAGATATAATATATAATATATAAATATTTAGAAAAATATATTATAAATATATTTATAATTATAAATTATAAATATATATTATATATTTATATATAATATATACATATATTTAATACATAGTCTACATAATATATAACATAATATAATATATATTATATATACAATATATAACATATGTTATATATAATTAAGACATATAACTTATATTTATTATATAGCCATTTTAATAGAAATACTTGTGTGCTTCCTTCCAATGAACGTTATATAACATATATGTTACATAACATACATTTTTTATTATATAAAATATATATGTTATGTGACATATATATATCTAAACTATGTATATATCTAAACTAAAGCTTTTTGAAATATGTTAATCACTAACATAACATACATATGTTACATAGCATATATATGTTATATAACATTTATTATATATTTTATAGAGAGAGACCAGTATTCATTAGTTATTAAAACAGCAAAAATTGAAAGCAAACTAAATTTCCAGCAACAGAAAATTTCTGAGTAATGAAAAAACAATTCAACATCATATTATGGCAATAATATCATTTAGATTATATACAATATGTATAAAATTATTCCATTAAACAGAAAAAGTTCTAGAAAATATAAGACAAAATATGAAAAATTGTTAGCTTTTTGACAGGGAGAGGAAGAGAGTCTATAAGATTTTATCATTTTTTTCACATGTACTTCCTGTGGAATTTAAAATAAAAACGTTAAGAGTGGAAGAAAGAGTATGGAAGTGCCTCAGGGTCTGGGCAGTCCTTTGGCCTTGTAGAATAGGCTGGATGTATGCGCATGTGTGGGAAAGCGTGTGTCTTCACGCATGTATCCGTTCATCCTTGTTTAATAACCTTGTAACTACACAGGTTTATCATCAATGTATTTACTGTTTCAAATTCCCAGAAGACCTTACTATCAAGCTAAATTTTGACTAGTGCTTGAGCTACGTATGTAGTCTTGTTATAGAGATCGAAGAGATTCACTTATGAAAGAGAAATAAAAGTTCAATATCCATTTTGAGTTATTGGACATAAGTTATTGACATTCTACTTCATGACATAATAGGAAATTTTATGTTCTAAGACTCATGGTCCTTTAGACTCACTTTAAACTGAAGTTATTTTTCTCTTGTAAAAGAAAACAGAAAAAAATTCTTTAGCTAAGGGTACCCTTTTTTGAGCTTCTATTTTAAGCATACAGGAATGTAGCAAGACTAACGTAGTTTAATCCAAATATCAATAAAGTCTTAGGTTGGCCAAGTGCAAATACACAACTCTAGTAGGGCTCTCCGTGTATGAAACTAAAGCTTTTTGAAATATATTAATCACTAAGATAAATGACATATTAATAAATGACTTGATGGTAACATAACATGTTCCTTTCCCCCAGAATTCTAGAAGAAATTATTTAAACTACTTTCTCAATCTTCATACACATGTGACTAACTGTGAATTGGTGGCTTTTCAGTCCCAAAACTGATAGGAGATGGATATTTTGGGATTATTAATGCTGCTCCATGACTTCACATGATTTCATTCATTTACTATGAACACAATACAAGTCATACAGTTAACTTTCTAAATTTATACAATCTAATTATATGCATTTATTCTAATAAAATTATGAAACTCACATTTTGGTCTCCAATGGTCTTTAACAAAATTTTATAATAAAATTATCTAGTGGTTAATGTGACACTATTTTGCTGACTTTTTTCTTTTTTAAAAGAAAATAACTATTACAGCATTTCTAGTCTACCTTTTTCCAAAAATAAAGGCAGCTTTAAAAGATGCACATAATATCATGAAACAATATCAGTGGCTATGATAGCGTATTTCTTTCTATTAAAAACCTACCTGGGTTTTAGAAAAAATAAATCTGAGGTTGGGTTTGTTTCGGTGAATACTGCCTTCTGTACCTGGAAGAATAGGGCTTATCTTTCATAGCCGTTACCACTCTCAAGATAATCTCAACGACCAAAACTAGAAATAATTCCATGTTACTCTATTCTTTAATGCTTTAAAGAATTGTACTAATCACTTTGGGTATTTTTCCTTTCATTCAGTCATTAGCTATGAGCTGCTTAAATGGAAAAAGACCGTGAATTTTATTTTCTTTACATTTTCAATTTTTAAGAGAATGCTAATCACTTAGTAAGCATTAAATTGTTTTGAGTGTCTAAAAGAATAAATAATTATTTTATGTCAATGACCCAACCTAAACATACACAGGAACCAACCCTGCAATTGCACACAGTGGATTTATTACTCATTGCAGCAAAGGAGAACACATGCTATGGGGAAACTGGGGTATCTCAGTAAAAGATTGTTAAAAACAATCTATAGGAGTTAGTCTTTGGTTGCATTACTGAGGGATGCATCTAAGTATGTGGGGGTTCAGTCTAGATTGGGTGCTGTCAGAAAGTGGGGGAAATTCTATAATTGGCTACTTCAATAAATCTTACCTACAAGGAAGGGGAGACTAGTATAAGATTAAAACTGTAATTGATCAAGAAATGTCAATCTCTAATTTTGGCTGAGTAACGGGGCATTTTGGTATTTTTGTGGGTGGCAAAGGAAACCTGCTTTTATTTCTGCTTAGAAAAAATTATGAAGTTGCCTTACTGTCTCATTTTATCATGGTCTCACAGCATCCTTACTATTGAGGTTGTGAGATAGGAATTGTGAGGCTGGAATTCTCTAAGATTATTTATGTCTAGTAAGAGAATAGCATGCCCTCGCTGTGAGAGTTAGGCCAGCTCATGAACGTCAGGATTTACTCTTTCGTTCTCTCCATTTACGTCTATCATTTTAAAATTTACATAATTGTAGAATAAGTTTTAAACTTTTTAAAATAAGCTTTTTAAATTAATGGGTCTATAAAATATTGTACAGACCATATTGTTGAAAAATGGTTATATACAAAATGAATCAAACTTAATATTTTAGTAAATACTGCCTCTGCCTACTTTATATTTTATAAAATAGGATATCATTAATAGAAGAATTTTGGTGACAAAACATGTATTTGATTTACATTTCTCTTCAGATATATTTATGCATAGAATAAAAATCTTGACGAAAATGTCTAAGGAAATGTTCAATATTTTTATATTACCTTTTTAGGGAGCTTATCTTAATAACTTCATTTCCTAAAGTCATAAATTTTGTATCTATTTGTACATAAGCCTTCTAACTTTTGCTAACTTTTAATTTTTCTATTTTACATAGTTAAATTGCATAAGTCTTCTAATTTTTCTAGGCCCTTTTTTCTTACTAACCCCAAATTTATTTGCACAGTGCAGTCACCGATACACATTAAGCACTCAACTTGAATGCTTGCTCCAAGCAATATGTTACAAATTTAAATTAATTGTCTCTCTACCAGTATCTGTCTAGTTCTTTTTATATTTCTGATCATGTGGAATAATGCATATTTTAAAGAACTATACAAATGTAACCTACCACCCTTAATTGTATCATAATTATTTCAGTTGTCCTCACTCATGTTTGTTTTCCCTAATGATTACTGGATGTTAGTCAGTCATACACTCCTATTCCATAATGTTTAAGACATTTGATCTCTAGAGTCCGCTCAGATTTGACTGCTTACGTTTGAATTCTGGTGCCATTATTTACCAGCTCTCTCAATTCTCTGTGGCATGAAGAGTACATCTGAAAAATGGGAGTAATAATAGTATTCATCTTACAGGATGGTCGTAAGGAGTTATTTTATGACCTCGGCCGAGTGTCTCATGCCTGTAATCCCAGCACTTTGGGAGACCAAAGAGGGGTGGATCACTTGAGGTCAGGAGTTGGAGATAAGCCTGGCCAACACGACAAAAACCCTTTCTCTACTAAAAATATCAAAATTAGCCAGTTGTGGTGGTGCATGCCTGTAATCTCAGCTACTCAGGAGGGATTATAAATAAAATGAAAAATAAAAAAATAAATCACTATGATAGGTAAAACACTTAAAATAGTGCTGGAACATTATAAGCCCTCGAAAAAATTTTGAGTATTATACCTACACTTTTTAATTTATATTTATACTCAATTACTTCTCATTACATAGTCTGTAATCATATCCTCTATGGTTTCACTCATCCTACCCCTACTTACCCCCAATCTCTTTCTATTCCAGTCTATTCCTTGTATAAAATTTAGTCATTTTATACAAGTCAGGATGCATGATTTAATTATATGCTTACTGAAAAAAACATTACTTGCCTTACCCCAAAAATATTTAATAATGAACTTCAAGTTCAAGATCTCAAACAATTCAACTTCATCTATTAATATGCTCAACCATTAACTTTTTCATTTAATAAATATTGAGTGTCTACTACCTGAACATTTAATTTTACAATTGAAATTAGAAAAAAACAACAAAAACTCCAAAATATTTTCATATGCTTTCCCTCATCAATATTTTTCTCATGGTTATAATGACTTAACTTTCTTCATTTTTAATTGTTGTATTTTGTTTGTAATGCCTTTTTGTTGTGTGCAACAGAGTGTGAACTCATGTTTTGAAAGTTCACAGTTTCACATTTTGTTTGCATTTTCTCTTACTTTTCTCTCTGCCTTGAATGTAGTTTTTTTTTTTCTTTTCTTCTTCTAATAGTTCCTTGGTAATGGACTGACCTAAGGAAATACAGTTATGTATAACTTACAGTTGTTAGATTAGTTTTGAAGTTTTAGGTATGAAATTCATTAATTTTAGCTATTGTCTACCATCTCATTTGAAGGTTTTAAAATTAAGTGAATCTCAGTACAAATTCTGCCAAACATACATGTACTTATGAAACAAGTGTGTGTTAGCAGTCACAGCACATTCTTTTTTTTTTTTTTAGACAGGGTCTTGCTCTGTTGCCCACTCTGCAGTGCAGCAATGCAATCTTGGCTCACTTTGTCCTCCACTTCCAGGGTTCAAGCGATTCTCGTGCCTCAGACTCCCGAGTAGCTGGGATTACAGGCATGCACCACCACTTCCGGCTAAGTTTTCTATTTTTAGAAGACACAGGATTTCACCATGTTGGCCAGGCTGGTCTTGAACTTCTGGCCTCCAGTGATCCACCCACCTTGGCTTCCCAAAGTGCTGGAATTACAGGCGTGAGCCCCCTCACCCAGCCACAACACATTTAATGCAACATATTCAGTAAATCCAATAATTTCCAGCTGTATGTTTGGGCGGTTTAAATACCACCTTATATGAAATATTCATGCCAGGGATATGAAACAATTTTCCAGAAGCAATTATTTTTACCATTTTAATTGATATCATTGAATCAGAATTATCCCAAACCTTTGACTGGATAGAGGACCACTGAAGGATGCAGCTTCAGATGCCATCCTTAAAGAAGCAAGGAAGTGATCTCTCTAGATGCTGATATCCTACTCATGCAAAGATGAGGAGTGTGTCTAAAATATTTTTGTTAATCTATATTTCTTGAATTCTTTCAGTTCCATCAGTGAATGTCTATCTTTAATTATAATTATACTAATTAAAATGTCTATTATTTAAAAATAAATCAATGTTAATCTCAAGTGCTGATGGAGATATGAAAAAGCAAAGTGTTTATTGTAGTGGTACATGCTATGGAATGTAACATATCTGATATTGTAACCATCCATTAAATATACATTTTGAAGTAGTACAGTTCCTAACCTAAAGTCACTGAATATACTGACACATATATACTTAATGCATAATGATATATCTTGAAGTAAATTACAGCCATTGAAACACTACCCGTTGCAATAAAAAATACATTTGTATAAGACAAAGGTTATAAATGTCTCAGTTTTATATTTAGTGTTTTTATCTAATGGAAATTATTTCCTAATTAGATATGTATCAATCCATTTAAATGAATTGAACAAAATATTGGCACAAAAATCTAATGAAACTAATTTAGCCCTGCTATCCAGACTAATGATGTCACTGGCATTTTAATCTCAAAAACAATGTATGCAAGATAACTAACCTGAAGATTTATTTCAACCTGAAGGTATGAATTATTACTAGAGGAATAGATTTGAGCGATGGTAATTTCAAAATCTATCTAGCCTTCTGAATTCACTCTTTATCTCCTTCTTCAAGTTATTTTCTTGGTAATTTTAAAAAATTCTGTAAATCACAATATTACTGTTCAAGCGATATATTTGAAATATATCTTAGAAACAGAAATAAATGGTTGTTTCAAATAAAGGTACGGTAAAATCTGCTACAGTAACAGTGAATTTATTCCTAATAATTTTTAAAGTTGGACTTATGTAAATTACAGACAATTTTATTAGTTACATAAGTGTTTTTGAGTTGTATATGTTTTGGTATGTTAATTATTATTATAAAATATGCCTCCTTATCTCTAGTAAGACCTTTTGTCTTACTTACACTTATCGTCGGGTAAGACCTGTTTTTAACATAACAACTATAAAAGCTATAATTTTATAAATGCAATGTTACAAATTAGCAAAAATGTAGCAGCCTGAAACAAGGCACATTTATTATCTTATAATCTCTGGGTTTCAGGAGTCCAGACCCCATTTAGCTGGGAACTCTGCTAATAATCTGAATCCCATCTGCTATTTGGGGCTCTTTCTCAAGCTTACTGCAGGTTGGCGCAGCTATAAGACTGAAGTCAATGCTTTTCTATTGGTCCTTGAAAAGCAGTCACTCAGTTCCTAGAGGGTACCCTTAGGTTTCAGCCAAGAGGCCTTCCCAAAGCAGCTTAGGTCTTCAAAACAAGCAAGACACACTCTCTCTGTCTCTCATTCTATGTAGCTCTATCTCCATCTCTATCTCTGTCTCTCTCTCTCTATGAAAGGTCTGGACCCTCTTTTCAAGGGCTCATCTAACTTGTCAAGCCTAGCAAGGTTAATCTCCTAATTACCTTAAAGTCAAATGACAAGTCACCTTAATTACATAGGCAGAATCCCTTCACCACTGCCACCTTTCCTGGAGTGAAATCCGAGGACATCCACAAATCCTACTCATGCTTAAGGTGCTCACTTCCATAAGTAACACAAGAACCTAAGAGATCTTCAACTACATATTACGTTATTTGACTTTTGTTCTTTTATTGTCATGTATTATTTAACCTCATAAGACATTGGTATCATCGTAATTTTCTACAGTGAACATGCATTATATTCACAGGTTTATTTATTCTGTCTCCACTTTTTTTTTCCTGTTTTGCATCTCTGTACTTCCATCTGGGAAAATGTTTCTTCTTCCTTTAGTGATACTTTTCATGTTTCCTGTTTTGCAATTTGGTACCTGATGAATTCTGTCAAATTTTTTGCCTTATTTATCATGATAATATCTCTATTATCACTTCATTTTATAGAGATTTTTTTAATAGCAGGATGTTCTAAGAAACAGATGACAAAAAAGTACTTGACATAAAAGAAATGTATTAGAGAAAATGACTGTAAAAGCAAATGAGGAAGGAACAGGCAAAGGTTGGAAATTTCCTCAGATAATGCAGGTCAGACTCTGAAAGATAAAGGGAAGAAGGGAGAAATGGGATAAGGGTAGTTGGAAGTATCTCAGTCTAACATATATTTCTAGAAAAAAGTTACTAAGCCTTTTTTCATGTGTCTGTTGGCTGCATACATGTCTTCTTTGGAAAGGGTCTCTTCATATCCTTTGCCCACTTTTTGATGGGGTTGATTTTTTCTTGTAAATTTGTTTAAATTCTTCGTAGATTCTGGATATTAGCCCTTTGTCAGATGGGTAGATTGCAAAAATTTTCTCCCATTTTGTAGGTTGCCTGTTCACTCTGATGGTAGTTTTTTTTTTTCTTTTTTTGCTATGTAGAAGTTCTTTAGTTTAATTAGATCCCATTTGTCAATTTTGGCTTTTGTTGCCATTGCTTTTGGTGTTTTAGTCATGAAGTCCTTGCCCATGCCTATGTCCTGAATGGCATTGCCTAGGTTTTCTTCTAGGGTTTTTATGGTTTTAGGTCTAACATTTAAGTCTTTAATCCATCTTCAATTAATTTTTGTATAAGGTGTTAGGAAGGGATCCAGTTTCAGCTTTCTACATATGGCTAGCCAATTTTCCCAGCACTATTTATTAAATAGGGAATCCTTTCTCCATTTCTTGTTTTTGTCAGGTTTGTTAAAGATCACATGGTTGTAGGTGTGTGGTGTTATTTCTGAGGCCTCTGTTCTGTTCCATTGGTCTATATCTCTGTTTTGGTACCAGTACCATGCTGTTTTGGTTACTGTAGCCTCATAGAATAGTTTGAAGTCAGGAAGCATGATGCCTCCAGCTTTGTTCTTCTTGCTTAGGATTGTCTTGGCAATGTGGGTTCTTTTTTGGTTCCATATGAACTTTAAAGTAGTTTTTCCCAATTCTATGAAGAAAGTCATTGGTAGCTTGATGGGGATGGCATTGAATCTATAAATAACCTTGGGCAGTATGGCCATTTTCATGATATTGCTCATCATCACTGGTCATGAGAGAAATGCAAATCAAAACCACAATGAGATACCATCTCACACCAGTTAGAATGGCAATCATTAAAAAGTCAGGAAACAACAGGTGCTGGAGAGGATGTGGAGAAATAGGAACACTTTTACACTGTTGATGGACTGTAAACTACTTCAACCATTGTGGAAGACAGTGTGGTGATTCCTCAAGGATCTCGAACTAGAAATACCATTTGACCCAGCCATCCCATTACTGGGTATATACCCAAAGGATTATAAATCATTCTACTATAAAGACCCATGCACTCGTATGTTTACTGCAGTGCTAGTCACAATAGCAAAGACTTGGAACCAACCCAAATGTCCATCAATGATAGATTGGATTAAGAAAATGTGACACATATACACCATGGAATACTATGCAGCCATAAAAAATGATCAGTTCATGTCCTTTGTAGTGACATGGATGAAGCTGGAAACCATCATTCTGAGCAAACTATCGCAAGGACAGAAAACCAAACACCACATGTTCTCACTCATAGGTGGGAATTGAACAACGAGAACAACTGGACACAGGGAGGGGAACGTCACACACCGGGGCCTGTCATGGGGTTGGGGGATGGGGGAGGGATAGCATTAGGAGAAATACGTAATGTAAATGACGAGTTAATGGGTGCAGCACACCAACATGGCACATATATACATATGTAACAAACCTGCACGTTGTGCACATGTACCCTAGAACTTAAAGTATAATAATAATAAAAAATTCACTAAGCCCATGAGTGAGTCCTCAGGTCACAGATGCCCATCAAAGAGTCCTGAGTCTCTTTCCTAGAAATGGGCTTGCCTTAGTGACCTTGCCATGCAGTCATTCGCTAAGAGCAGTCTGTGGGAAATTAGCCTGGGAGCAAATTCAGGCATGGGTTTCAGAGCCCAGAAGATGGGGGTTTAAGTCAATTGTAGTTAATGCAGGTGAAAATTTGAGAGGAGTATTCTGATGGCAGCAATATTAAAGAATTCTATTTTGGTATTTAGTTCTTTCTGAACTCAGAGTCTGTCCGTTGTTTTCTAGCTGTCATTTTTTCCTTCAAGAAATCGGCTCTCAGTCTCATAGCTGCAGGTTTGAAAGTATTGTCTTTTTTTTTTTCTTAAAATTCTCTTTATTTTTATGAAGTTTGATGTTTTATAGGGCAGTTATGTTTTGTGCAAGTCATTGTTATCTACTCAATGGATGAAGAGATTTGAAGCTGGACTTCAGACTTTGTGAACAATCATACATTTCTTTATTCTTTTCCTTAGCTTTAGCCCTTTGGGACTCCCAAATGAGTGTGGAGCCCCAACTTTCTTGAGACCTAAACTCAAATACCCACTTTCTCTTTCCATGTTAGATGGAGAAAGCTCTCCTGAGCTTCCAAGTCCCAGCTTTTGAATGAGCAAATTCTCTGAGGAAGAAACGTGATTCAAAATAATGGGCTCACCTTTCTCGTCTTCCCTTTTTTGGGGAGTCTTGGTCCTTCAAATTCTTGCTAGCTTGGTAGCTTTCTGATGTTTCCAAACATATGGTTATTGTTATTATTTAGTACAGTTTTTAGTTATTTTCAGTGGGAAGGCTGGTCTGAAAAAAAGCTAGGACACAATTGCTAAGAGCAGAACATTTCATTTAAAAATGTTTAAGAGACCAATTTGTATAAGTTGACTGCTTTTTTTCCTGCATTTTTTCTAGCAAAATTCAATGCCATTATTGTCATGATACAAATATAGCTAGGCTTTACTCCCCACTCCTGTACTTGGTAATTCACTGTTTTTAACTAATTCTGATTAGGAGTACAACACAAATGTAAATGTAGCGTAAACCCTTTTTAAGTTTATTCATTTATTTATTTTCGAGACAGGCTCTGGCTCTGTCACCCAGGCTGGAGTACTGTGGCACTATCTCGGCTCACTGCAACCTCTGCCTCCTGGGCTCAAGCAATCCTCCCACCTCAGCCTCCTGAGTAGCTGGGACTACAGGCACATGCCACCATGCCCAGTTAATTTTTTAATTTTTGTAGAGATGAGGTTTCGCCATGTTTCCCAGGCTGGCCTTGAACTCTTGAGCTCAAGCAATCCACTCACCTCTGCCTTCCAAAGTCCTAGGATTACAGGCAAGAGCTGCTGTGCTCGGCCAAGTTCATTTATTTTTGGATAGAAAAACATGTATTCTACTCCTGTCATATTCTGTTTATCACTTTCCAGATATGTGACCTTGGCCAAGTTAATTAAATTCTGTCTTTTTACTGTCATCCACAAATTAAGAGAAGTAAGTAAATGTACCTCAAATATATAGAACCAAAAAGAAAAAGCACGTTTTTGAACTTAGGCTGTTTAATCTTAAAGAAATAAGTATTTGAATGAAAACAGACTTTGGTTTTTAAGATAATTTGTCATTTTGAAATATTACAGTCAGATTCTTTAGTAAGTTCCTCCCACCTATTTAGTATTCATTTAAAAATATTCTTTTATTTACAAATACTAGATTTACATATTTTAAGGATAGCTTTATTATATAAAGTGAGAACCATATTTATAAAACAGATCATTCTTAATCCTAAGATCTAATTTAGATATAATTCCATTCTTTAGAATCCAATATAAAAGACTACAGTTTAAACAAATATAAGACAGTTAATAATGTAAAAGGATCTACTGCACTTTTAAAATTGCACGTTAAATAGCAAAATTAAATAAACAGTGAAAATTGCATGTTTCATTCTCAAAGTTAAGGTCATATTGAGCATTTTTAACCTGGGGTAGCTATTAAATATATGCCTAATAATTATCCAATTTGGAAATAAAGATGTAGATTATAACATACAAGAAGGACATTTTATTGGAAATTTATTTTCCCTTAATATGAGCATGAAAGAAAGTGAGACACATATTACCTAAACATAATTAACATTTCTAAATGCATGAATAAATGGAAAAATTAAGCTTGGTATCTGGAAGTGCTACGAATTATGTAACTGGAAAGAAAATCAAAATGTTATCTAGGCTATGATTATGTTAAAAATTTTTACCTTTAACCATATGAGGTAGAACCATGTTCATAAAACCAATGGTCAGCCATACTAATCATTGCATAGCTTATTTGGGCTGGGTAATTCTGTTTAATAATAAAGTTGTTTAAATTTTTAAAAAGGTAAAATTCTAGTTTAGTTTAATCCAAAGCATAGGTATAAGCCTCAGCAAAATTCAGTAATAAGTATAATTAACCCTAACGATATACATAACTATTATAAAGTATACTACTAAAGAGTACTCTCCACAGCCACATAAAACAATTGACAGCAGTGTCTTTTATAAGACTTGCAATTTTCTTTACAAAAATTGCTTGGAGAATGACTACTCATTTACAATGGCTAAAATCCAAAATGACTACTCAGAATGGTTAAAATCCAAAAATCTGGCAATATTAATCCCTGGTGAGGAGTAATAGGAACACTCAATCATTGGTGGTGGGAATAAAAAATTGGTAGGGCCACTTTGGCAGACAGTCTGGCAGCTTTTTACCATGCTAAATGTAGTTTCACCATGTGATTCAGTAATCTCACTACTAGATATTTACTCATGTGATTTTAAAATTTATGTCTACACAGAAACCTGCTCATGAATGTTTATAGCAGATTCATAATCACCCCAAGCTGAAAACAATCAAGATATACTTCAATAAATGAGTGGATAAACAAACTGCTACATATATATATGTGTGTATATATATATACACATATATACATATATATATACACACACACACAATATAATATTATTTAGCCATAGAAAATGAGTTATTAAGCTAGGTAAAGACATGGACAAATCTGAAATGCATACTGTTAAATAGAAGAAGCCAGTCTGAAAAAGCCATATGCTCTACAATTCCAAATATATGACATTCTGGAAAAGGTAAACTATAAACATGGTAAACAGACCAGTGATTTCCAAGAAAGGATGAAAGTTGAATAGGTGAAGCACAGGCAATTCTTTAGGGCAGTGAAACCATGCTGTATGACATTATAATGATAGATACATGACACTACGCATTTGCCAAGACCCACAGAACTTTTTAGCATAGAGTCAACCTTAATTGTACCTATTTTTAAGAAATCATTTAGGAACTGAAGGGATCCAAGGATGGAATGCAATATGTAAAAAAAGAAAACTTACTTATAAATGCATGAAATAACCTCAGTGGAGTTAGAATAATATGTTAATATAAATAATTTTAGAAATGAGTGAATTTGGTATGATGAAAGGCAAAAGAAGCTGTATGTGTGCACTGTACTCTACTTAATACAGATGTTTCCCATTTGGGTACAGGTTAATGATTTTGATACCACTATAGATGTATAATTGAATTGAACAATTAAGTAAATGAATGACAGGTGGTGGGAGCCAGATTTTATATTATCAGAGTGAAAAGTTACAGATAAGGAAGACAAGAAAGCCAGAATGACTCATGTGTTAATGGATTACAGTTGGAGAGATCAGTGTAAAATCGTGTTTAGCTTTATATAGGTACATATGGTTACATACAGAATATTGATAGAAATGTGTGTATATGCAAGTTAGCATTTTTTCTTTGCCTGTCAACTTAAAGGGCCTGGAAGTAATGACGCTCTGGTATCTATGCACATACCTAACACCTAGATCTTGTTTTGTAATGCCATTCTAGAAAAAAGAAACCAAGACACTTTGGAGAGATTGCTGAATCTAAGTCTGGGGAAGGAAATATATAAGATGAGATGAATGTGTAGTAATGCTGGTAAGTTAAAATGTTTTTTAAAAAAAATGAAAGTATGTCAAAATGACCCGGGAAACAACTATAAGAGCTAGCAATGGCCAAAGTTGGAAAACTTTGAGCTAAATAAATATGAAATTATAACCCAAACTTACAAAAACCTATGATTCCATACTGATATAAATAAATGTAGAAGAGCCAAATCGTCCATGCAGAGCTTCAAATATTTATATAGAAGCTCTACCCTGGAGAAGACGGAGCATAGTGCTTCATTTCTTCTTTTTTTGTAGTTTAATTTAAAGTACTGGGATACATGTGCAAGACGTGCAGGTTTGTTACATAGGCAATGTGTTCTTAATATGGCTGCATATAGTGTATGCCTTACAGTGAGTACCACATGGAAAGGCAAAAAATTAAAAATAACTCTACAGTGGAGAAAAATGGTAAAGACTACCCCACTAAAGGTTAATATTAACAGAAAGTCACGTTGAGACAATGTAACTTTGATACATTGGAAATGGCACTTTACCTCTGTGGTTTTCCTCCCTGGAATGCATGATCTCAGTATAGTTATGAGAACAACATCAGATAAACGCCAACTGAGTAACACTTTACAAAATGGCTGATTACTGCTTCTCAAAATTGTCAAGGTTATCAGAAACAAGAAAATTCTGAGAAACTATCACAGCCAAGATGAACCTGAGAAGATATGAAGACTAAATGTAATTTGACACCCTGGATGAAATTCTACAACAGTTTCTAAAAGTAAGAAACATATTTATCACTTATTTGTATAAACAAAATTAATCAAGAATTGATTATCATTAGGATGAGAGTAGCTTTCCCAATAAAAAGTTGCAATATTTTGCCCAATTTTCGGTACGGAGTCAGTTTTCAGATGTACAATCCACTGACTGATTTGGAGGTCAAATTCTACGATCACAAACTACAATATTGCGACCAGAGTATTCAGCAGTGGTTCATAGGAACATTCTACCCACAAAACCATGTAATGAGTAAAGGGAGTGCCAATATACTTTAAGAATTATTAAATATAGGAACTTGATTGAAATTGATATTCAAAGAACCAAATCACCAATTACTTCCACCATTTTTTTGTTGTTTGTTTTTTTGAGGCAGAGTCTCACTCCAACACCCAGGCTTGAGTGCAATGGCATGACCAAGGGTCACTACAGCCTTTGCTTCCCAGGGTTAGTGATTCTCCCACCTCAGCCTCCCAAGAAGCTGAGACTACAAGTGTGTACCACAATACCTGGCTAATTTTTTTTAATTTTTATTTTGGTAGAGTCTGGGTTTCTCCGTGTTGCTCAGACTGGTTTCAAACTCCTGGGCTCAAGTGTTCCACCCGCTTCAGTCTCCCAAAGTGCTGAGATTACAAGCATGAGCCAGCAGGCCCAAGCCTGCCATTGTTAAGATGAGGGCAGATGGCAGCCAGATAATAAATGCGTCCTGGCCTGGGACCAGCTCATAATTAATTTACAAGATCCAGAGACCCATATACTAGTTGTTTTCTCAGTGTATAATTGGATTATACACTTTATACAATTAATGAATGATATAAAGTGTATAGCTAAATAATGATTAAATAATATTAATAATTATACAATTTTGTAATTGAAGTCTATAAACTGGCTAGTTAGCAGAACACTTGCACTGGTTGCTTGATCTGTGGGTTAAGACGAAAACATACATGTACAAAGAATGAATAAAACCTTCCCAAATATGCTTAAAAACATTCATCAACCCATCCAAGAAAATAAATCTAAATAGGAAAAATGCAAAGAGATCTCCACCTAGACACAAAAAAGTAAAGGGGTTGAAAAATAGAGAAAAATTTTGCAAGCAAAAGGATGAAAATGATGCATCACCTACAGTAGAACAATACAAGTAACAGCTGACGTCTCATCAGATAAGATGGCAATATAAAGGCAGTGAAATGTTGTATTTGCAAGGTTAAAGAAAACAAACAACACCTGTCAACAAAGAATTTTATGACCAGCAAAATGCTTGTTCAAAAATAAAGGTGAGGCCAGGTAAGGTGGCTCATGCCTGTAATCCCAGCACTTTGGGAGGCCGAGGCGGACAAATCACGAGGTTAGGAGTTCAAGACCAGCCTGACCAACATGGTAAAACCCTGTCTCTACTAAAATTACAAAAAATTAGCGGGCACAGTGGCAGGCGCCTGTAATCCCAGCTACTCAGGAGGCTGAGGCAGGAGAATCGCTTGAACCCAGGAGGCGGAGGTTGTGATGAGCCGAGGTCATACCACTGCACCCCAGCGTGGGCAACAGAATGAGTCTCAGTCTCAAAATAAGTAAATAAAATAAATAAATCATAAATAAAGGTGAAATAAAAACACTCCTATATAAACACAAATTAAAATTAAAATAAAATAAAATTTATCAATAGAAGACTTGATTTCCATGAAATAACATAGCAAATCCTTTAGTCTGAAAGGAAGTAACACCAAATGGTAACTTAAAAACACAAAGGACAAAATTAAGACAACCAGAAAAAGTAAATATATGATAAAAATAAAAGTTTCTATTGTCTTTAAATTGTTTAAAAGACATATATTTATATAAAACAGTAACTACAATACTGTACTTTTGGGTTTATGGCCTACATAGACATAATATATATGACAATAACAACACAAAGAATGAATAAGAAAATTAAACTTTATTGGAATACAGTTCCTACATTTAACCAGAATTAAGTTAACATTAATCTGATGCAGGCTGTTATAAATGTTAAGATGCATATTTCAACCTCAAATATTAATATTTGAAAAATAAATTAGCAGAGGAATTAAATTGGTACCCTAAAATACTTAAAAAAAAGGAAGTAGTGAAAGTAGAAGACAGAAACAGGTTATGAGATATATAAAAATCATACAACAAAATGACAGATACAAATATATCAATAATAACATTAAATATAAATGGACTAAACATACTAATGAAATGGCAAAATACTTAAACAGAATAAACAAAATAAAATCCATTTACATCTACAAGACATAAACTATAATACCATAGTTTGAGAATAAATGTATAGTAAAATATATAGAATGCAAACAGTAACCCTAAAAGAGGTAGAGTGGCTATATTAGAAGCAGACAAAAAAGCCTAATATAAGAACTATAACTTGAGACAAAAAAAAAAACAAACAACAAAAAAGAAAAGTTCAATACATCAGAAAGATATTTTAAGACTACCTGAAGCAACAACTGATAGAAGTGAAAGGACAAATAGAAAATTCAATAATATTAGTTGGAGAGTTCATATAGTAGTATCAGTAACAGAGCAACTAGACAAAAATTCAGCAAAAATATAGATAATTTGAACAGTATTAAAAAGATATGAGCAGTAGTGTTAGGCAGCTTGATCTTTTATAGCATATTCCACCAAATGTCAGGAGAATTCACATTCCTTCCAAGTCCAAAGGGAACACATTTCAGGATAGACCATATACTGGATCACAAAGCAACATAACAAATTTAAAGCGATTAAAATGATACAAACGTGTATTTTCCAATGCCAAAAAGATTAAATTTGAAAGCTACAGAGAAAACGTAAGGGAAATAACCAAGCACTTAGAAAGGAAACACGATGATTGTGGTTAACCAATAACACAAATAAGAAAAAGGAAAATAGAAAATATGCTGAAAAAAAGGAAAATAAAGTTATATTCAAACTGATGAGAAACCACTAAAACTGTACATGGAGACAAATCTGTCATTTGTACAATGTGTCATAAAAAACAAATAGCTTCAAATCAATCATCTAATTTTCCACTTTAATAAACCAGAAAATGGAGAGCAAACTAAACCTGAATCTAGCAGAAGAAATGAAATAAAAAAGTGAAAATTAATAAAATAGGAAAAACACTTGAAAAAAATTAATGAAAACAAAAGTTGGTTTTTCAGAAACGATTAATAAAATTAACAAATATTTAGCTAGTCTGAATAAAAAAAAAAGAGGGAGAAGACACAGATCACTAAAATCTGGAATTAAAAGGGACATTATCACTAACCCTTCCAAAATTAAAAACATTAAAAAGGAATACTATGAACAACTCTAGGCCCACAAATTGCATAACTTACATTAAATGGATATGTTTCTACAAAGATGCAAATTACCAAAAGCGACTGAAAAAATCAGATGTTAAAATAAATATATAACAAACACTGTAATCTAATAAAATATCTTCGAACAAAGAAAAGTCAAACTCAGACCTAGATGGCCACACTGGTAAGTACTAAAAATATTATTCCCCTTGAAAACCAGCACAAGACAAGGATGTCCTCTCTCACCACTCCTATTCAAAGTAGTACTGAAAGTCCCAGCCAGGGTAATCAGGCAAGAGAAAGAAACAGAGGGCACCCGAAGAAGAAGAAAGGAAGTCAAACTATCTCTGTTTGCAGATGATATGACTCTGCATCTAAAAAACAAACAACCCCATTAAAAAGTGGGCAAAGGACATGAACAGGCACTTTTCAAAAGACATACATGTGGCCAACAAACATATGAAAAAAACTCAGTATCACTGATCATTAGAGAAACACAAATGAAAGCCACAATTAGATACCATCTCACAATAGTCAGAATGGCTACTATTAAAAAATTTAAAAATAGCGATGCTGGTGGGGTTGCAGAAAAAATGGAACACTTATACACTGTTGGGAGGAGTGTAAATTAGTTTAACCATGGTGTAAAGGAAAACAGTATGGCGATTCCTCAAAGAGCTAAAAGCAGAACTACCATTCAACCCAACAATCCCATTACTGGGTATATACCCAGAAAAATAAAAATCATTCTACCGTAAAGACACATGCACGTGAATGTTCATTGCAGCCCTATTCACAATAGCAAAAGACATGAAATCAACCTAAATGCCCATCAATGACAGATTAGATAAAGAAGATGTGGTACATACACACCATGGAATACTATGCAGCCATAAAAAGAATGAGATCATATCTTTCACAGGAACATAGATGGAGCTGGAGGCCATTATCCTCAGCAAACTAATACAGGAACAGAAAACCAAATAGCGTATGTTCTCACTTATAAGTGGGAGCTAAACGATGAGAACTTACAAACGCAAAGGAGGAAACGACAGACACTGGGGTCTTCTTGAGGGTGGAGGGTGGGAGGAGGGAGAAGAGTACAAAAGATAACTATGAGGCACTGGGCTTAATTCCTGGGTGATAAAATAATCTGTCCAGCAAACCCCTGTGACATGAGTTTACCTATGTAACAAACTCAAATGTACCCCCTCAAATCTAAAAGAAAAGTTAAAAAAACGTAAGTTTTAAATCAAGACCTATCAAGTAGATAATTTCAACAGAATATTTACTGTTTGTTTTTTGTTTCTAAAGACCATAAAACTCTAATAATACTTAATAAAACAAAAGAATTGTGTTGCTGACAAAAAATTAAAATAAAATACTGAAAATAAAATGCTAACCCTTAATGAACCTCAAAAAATAGAGGAGAGAACATATCCCAAATCACTCTTTGAGGCTGGATTCTCCCTGATGCCAAATCACACAAAAACATCACAAGAAAAGGAAAATACATAATGTCCTAATAAGCAAATGTTCTTAAAATATTTGCAAACTGAATTCAGTAATATTTAAAAAGGATTACACACCATCATCATCTGGGATTTCCACAAAAATGCAAGACTATATTAGCATCCAAAAAATAAATCCATGTAATACATAATATTAATAATGGAAGAAAAGCATACAGTATCATCTCAGTAGATTCAGATACTGTATTTGACATAGCCGACATCTATTTCTGATGAAATGCTTAGCCAATTAGAAAAAGATGAGAATTTTCTCAAACTATTAAAAGGCACCCAACAAGAAAACTTACAATCAATATCATACTTAATGGTGAAAGACTGAAAGATGTCCACTTTCACTGTATCTATTCAACAGTGTACAAGAATTTCTAGCTAGTACTTTCTTTCAAAAGAAAGAATCAAAACCATTTATTATGTATATTAATTCACATATGTCATAATCCTCTATGTAGAAAATTCTGAGGAAATCACATACACATACCTACTAGATTTGATAAACACATTTAATATGGTCACAGGTAATAAAATCAATATGCAAAAATCAATTATATTTTTATACACTTACAATGAATATTCTGCAAACATAATTTTTTAAAATTCCATTCACAAAAACAACAAACAAAATACTACTCAGGAATTAATTTAAAAAATGCAACCCTTGTCCGTTGAAAATCTATAAAAGATTGCTAGGAAAACTGTTCAACGATCCAAATGAATTGGTAAAAATCCCACGTTCATAGATAGAAAGATTCAATAATTCTTTTGATCTCTCCCCAAATTGCGAACTCACCCTAAATTGATCTATTGATTCAAAAAAGTCTCCATGAGCTTATCAGATTTTTTGGGTAGAAATTGACAAGCCTATCATTACAATTATTATGTAAATATAATAGCTTTAAAATAGTCAAAAAAATTTTTAAAAAGAACAAAGTTGGAAAGCATAGGATACCTGACTTCTAAACTTTCAAAGTACAGTAATAAAGACAATGTAATCATAATGTACATACAGATAAGCATATAGACTAACTGGACCAAATTCAAAGTTTGGAAATAAACTCTTAATTTGGTTATTTTTAGTAAAGAATCAAAGATAATTAAATGGTGAGAGAATGGGCTTTTGAAGAAATAGTAATAGAACAACTTAGTATTCCTATGCAAAAACAACAGAAAAGAAGAATAAAGAACTTAGCAACTTACCCCACACTATACACAAAAATTAAATCAAAATGGGTCACAGATGTAAATATTGTATAAGAACTAATACTATAAAACTTCTGGAGAAAACCTAGGAGATAATCTTTATGGCCTTTGGATAGGCAAAAATCTCTTGGCTACAGTACAAAAATATGATTTATTAAAAACATTATATTGTTGAACTTCATGAACATTAGAAACTTTTATACTTGAAACACAACATAAAATGAAATACAAGCCATATTTATAAGTCATATATCTGATAAAGGACTTACATCTAGAAAATATCAATATTTTCAAATCAATATTTAAAAGACATAAATTCCAAGTAAACGATAGTTGAAATATTTGAATAAACATTTTACCAAAGAACACATATGAATGCCTAATATGCACATGAAAAGATGCTCAATATCACTAGTAATTAGGGAAATGTAATTGAAGAACACAATGAGATACCACCGCACACACAGTAATGGCTGTAATTAAAAAGACATAAAATGAGTGTTGGCAAGGAAGTGGAAAAATTGGAACCCTCACACATTGCTGGTGGGAATAAAAATGGTTCAGCTACTTTGGGAAAGAGTTTGGCAGTTTCTTCAGAAAAAAAGTACATCTACCATATGGCCCTACCTTTCCACTCCTAGGTATTTACTCAATAAAAATAAAAGCATATGGCCATGCAAAGACTTGTATATGAATGTTCACACTAGCATTATTCATAACAGCCCCAAACTGGAAGCAACCCAAATGTGTATCAACCAGTAAATGAGTAAACAAAATGTGTTGTATTCATACCACATTTGCCAGATACGAACGACTGTATACGGTATAATATTTACATGAAATGTCTAGAAATGGCAAAGCTATAGGACAGAAAGTAGATAATTGTCTAGGACTGGCTATGGGAATAAGAATGGACTAAAAATGGGCAGGAAGAAACTATTATGTTAATGAAAATGCTTAATATTGGATTGTAGTGATGGCTGCAAAGCTTCATCAATTTACCAAAAATCATTTAAATGTAAATTTACAGTGTCCGAGTATATGGCATGTGAGTGTTACCTAAGCTATATAAGGTAGATATCACATTTTGGCAGAAGATGGCAGAAATTAGTGCCCCTCTCAAAGATTTATAAAGGCAGCCCTATTTATTTTTCTGTCTAATTCACCAATCTGACAACTATATACTGTATGCGCCACTCATTCTTCAGGATGAATTTACCTGTTGTAGGTGGACTAACAGTCCCTCAAACATGTCTGTTACATGGAAAAGAGGATGTAAAGTTGCCGATGGAATTAAGGTTGCTACTCAACTGACCTTGATATGGGACGATTATCCTGGATCATTCAGGTAGGCTCAATGTAATCACAAGGTTTCTAATAAAGTAAAAAAGGAGAAAGAAGTGTCACAGTTAGAGTCATGCAGCATGAGAAAAATTAGATTGGCAATTACTGCTGACTTGGAAGATGTAAGGAGGTCAGAAGCAAAGGTACGATGGTGGTCTCTAAAAGCTGAAAAAGGAAGAAAGAAAATGAATTCTTCCCTAGAATCTCCAGTGAAAAACCCTCTTGACACTTAATTTTAGCCCAGTGAAACCAATCTTGGACTTTTGACCTTCCGAGCTTTCACATAATACATGTGTGTTGTTTTAAGCAACAAAGTGGTAACTTGTTACAGCAGCAATAGAAAACGAATATAGCACCCAGCCTATAGCTGCTGGAAATACTGGCTACTGATGAGTCATAGATATGTCTCTCACTGGGAATTGTCCTTAACTACAAGGAATTGTCTAGTCTTGTAGGTTTTTCTTCCTCTCAGGGGATGCAATGACTAGTTGATACGGGGTTACAAAGACCTAAGTTGAAGGTAAATTACAGGTAAGCTTCTTAGTCTGCCCAGTCCTACCTTCACTTTCTTAAAATCGAATATCCTGAGGTCCTTTCCTAATAAACCTTCTGCATGCAAGTCTTCCTTTTAGAGTCTATTTCCTGTGATACATATTGATTAATGCAAACTCAGCAGAAAGAGCCTATGTCTCTTCACAGACAGCTACACATAAATCTTTGTGTCTCAAAGTTTAGAAGTTTTAGAAACTCTAACTCATTAAAGTTTTTCCATAATATTTCTATTCTCAGGTCTTCCTTAAGATAGCATATTTTGATTAATACCTACATTCCCAGGGTCACAATACTGTTAATGCAAACTGATTTTGCTAACTTGGGCTTTTAAAGAAGTTTTTGTTTATTTAAAACAGTGGTTTTGGTAGGTGAGGTTTAAATTCAACACATATGTAGGAAAACAACTTAAAACTGTTCTCCATTGACAATGTCCTCCCAAGAACACATTGTAAAAAAGGACTATATTTTAAATACTAACTTCATGGTTGCCTATAATATATGGAGCCATGAACAACAAAGGCCTAACTATAAGTTTTTTTGCTTTGAAAATATCATTTATTAATTGTTCAGTATTAAGTTGTGATTTCATTGTTATGGCTTATTTCTAATTTGATACTGAGGGCTCTCTCTCGAAAGTGGTGAGAAGCCAAGATAGCCGCTCTTTATGATAGTGCAGATGAAAGGGGTAGTAGGTAGGGGAGTTAGGTTTTGGTGTATGTCTCAGGTAAGAAACAATGCGAAAGTAAAATCGAAATGCATAAAACGGAAGAAATTTATTACTCACAGGTCCTAAAGATGTTAGGGGCACTGGTCAAAGTCTATGGGAAGCCTGGAGGAGGTACAGAGGTCAACTGGTGGGGGAGGGAAAGAAGAGGAGTCTTTCCTTCAGGGGTTGTGGATTGGCTAGTTTACAGAAAACACACAGTAAGAGAGGAACTTATTTACAAGACTCTGGTGTTTGACTATTAGGTTTTATCATGTTGAACAGCTGTGAGTGTATGGGGTTTGGGTCAGTGGAATGAGGCTATATTTCAAACAACTACACAGGGAGAGGAAGTTTTAGCTAGGCCAAAGGTGATGAGGTAAACTGACTTTCAAAGAACTTAGGTCAGGCTTTAAAATTAATGTCAGGACAGCAACTATATGAAACAAATTTATGACAAAGTCTACGTGGGTGACTTCTACAGAATTGACTTCTGTTAGGCCTTAGTTTTTGAGTGACACCAGTCTAATTAATTGCTGTTCATGACTCATAGCTATCACAGATACTGGGTTTCACATGAATCAACAGTTAATAAAATTCATAAGTATTGCAAAGAGGTCATGAATCTGAGAAGCTCTATTAGTTTTGCTTAATTTCCCCCTTTGTGAAATATGGATAAGTTGAAAAGCACTACTCATATTCATCTTTTTACTTTTTCTTATTTACTGAACTTTTATTGAGTATAATCAGAGAATCTTGGCACGTATTTGGCAAAAAATACATCTTTATTACTGAGCTACTTGTTCAGATGATTTAAATTTAGGACCAAAAGAGACTCTAGAATGATTCCTATGTGTCAGGTAATCTGTTGGGAGAAAAAAGTAATTTCAGTGATCTGATTCTATATCTAAGGAAAAGAAGCCTTAAGAGTTTACATGGCCAGGCACAGTGGCTCACTCCTGTAATCCCAGCATTTTAGGAAGCAAAGGTGGGCAGACCATGAGGTCAGGAGCTCGAGACCAGCCAGACCAACATGGTGAAACCCCACCTCTAAAAATACAAAAATTAGCCTGGCGTGGTGGTGTGTGCCTGTTAATCTCAGCTACTTGGGAGACTGAGGCAGGAGAATCGCTTGAACCCAGAACACTGAGGTTGCAGTGAGCTGAGACTGTGCCACTGCACTCAAGCCTGGATGACAGAGTGAGACTCCATCTCGAAAAAAAAAAAAAAAAAAAGAAAGAAAGAAAAAAGAGTTTACATGACCCCCAACGATACACAGCTAGTGGTACAGAGCCCTTAAAATCAGAAGAACAAGATGGAAGGGAAATCAGGGAGATTCAAAGTATGAGGAAGATTTGACCTACTCTTGTTGGCTTGAAGATAGAGTGGGTAGTGTCAAAAGCATGAGAAGAATATGAATTCTAGAACAACCATTGATTTAGGGAAAAATCCCACACTCCAGATGAGAACCACAGCATTTGTTGACAGTTTGATTTCAGCCATCTGAGACCTTGATCAACCATGCCATGTCGGACTTCAGAACTATGAAAACAGAGCTCATAAACAGATTTTGTTATAAATAGCTAAGTTTGTGGTAATTTGTTGTGCAGCAAAAGAAAAGGAAAATTTGTTTATTCTGTCATTTCCACTGCATGAACCATGAGTAAAACATTTTTTCTTGGTGTTTCCTTCTTTCTAAAATCATAGATTGGGTCGTCTAGAAACATGGAAGAAAGAAACACTGCCTGAAAGATAATAAAATGCAGGTGCATAAAAGTAGAATGGACTTGGAAAAACTGCTTTTACATTTTGATTTGGTCACTTACTGGCTCTATGACCTTAAGCAAGCCTATTTTTATTTTCTTTAAGTCTTACATTTCATGGCTGACAAAAAGAGAAAATAACAACACTATTTCTTAGAGTTGTTGTGGAGATAAATAGAAAAAAGTCGTTTTGAAGGCAAAATGCACATTATACCCAAACTGAAAAGCAGAATTCTAAATGGGGAGCTGGGAAGAGGAATGGAAGAGCTAAATATGTCTTTTCTGCTATAGTCTTTGCCAGAATCTTAACAGTAATAGTAGAATAGGATCCTCCCACTCCAGATATCTATATATACCATTTCTTATGAGAGTCTGATTATAGCCTGAAAAAAATTGGGCCTGTCTTAGCCCACTTTCACTAATGAGAACTATATTCAGTAAACTGTTTTCTATTTTCAACATACTCTAAAGAATATGTTAAAAGCTCTGTCTGATATCAAGGTCCACTTCTTCATTTCTAAGGAATGGTTGGAAGCCAGGTGAAATGTCTGCTGATCACGTATAACCCTAAATACTGTTCATTTATAACTCACACCCTTTATTCTAGAAGATATTAGGACATGGTTTTTAAGGGTGTAAGCTCTGCACTTGTTAGTAAAGGTACAGTTCCTTATCCCAGCCCCTGTAAGTTAACTCCACCCTAGATAAGGAATTTAACTTTTTATATTCTATAAAATGGGTATGGTAATAGTCCCTGAAATAGTCAGAGTTCTCATATATGTGTGTGTGTACACACACACACACACACACATTTACACATACACACACATATATATACACACACACATACACATACACATACACACACACACACACACACACACACACACACATACAAAGGAATTGGCGTACACAATTTTGGGTGGCCTAGGCAAGTATAAGTTCCACAGGGGGGAAAAGCTCTCAGGCATGGGCTGTAACTACTATACAAAAGCAGAAATTCTTCATCAAGACAGCCTCAGCTCTTCTATTAAGACCTTTCTACTGATTGATTCAGGGCCAAAAAATTATCTAGAATAATCTTTTTATTTAACGTCAGCTGTCTCACATCTACATAATACGTTCATAGCAACAGTTAGTGTTTGGTTGAATAACTGAGGGCTGTAGACTAGACAAGGTGACAAATCAAAAGACCATCACAGCACCCAAATCACAGCCTTCTTTGGGGCATCAAAAGGAATCTATGCAAATAAAGGGTGTGTGTGTAGTGGATGTCTAATATATTTCATATGCTCAAAAATTCTACCTATATGTTGTCATTATTGCCTGTTAACAATTGGAAAGGGATCAATTTTTATAAACTGCTACACCATTATGCCTTTCTAAAATAAGGTGTTTTTCTGAATTTTTACTTCTAAAACAGTAAAATACAGCAGCATCTAATGGCTATATTTTAATGTTTTATTTGCCAATAGGAAGAGCAATTCTAAACCACTTTTGATGGAAAAAGTAATTAGGAAAACAATCCCTTATTTCCTTGGTAACATGACACTTCTTTGATGATATTACCGTCAAGTACTCCTTGTGAAGTACTAAATTAGGATATGTTGGTTTGAATATTTCATGTGCAAAATCAAAAAGACTTAAGTGTTATTGATGAGCCAAAAATTATGATTATGTATATTCATATAATTCTGAGTACCATTATAACAAATTGTTGAATATGTTGTCCCTATACTTGTCAGTTATTATAGCTTTCCTTTTTATTTTTTTATTGTGGAGCCGGAGTCTCACACTGTCTCCAGGCTGGAGGGCAGTGGCATGATCTTGGCTCACTGTAACCTCCACCTCCCGGGTTCACATGATTCTCCCGCCTCAGCCTCCCGAGTAGCTGGGACTACAGGTGCGCGCCACCACGCCCAGCTAATTTTTGTAGTTTTAGTAGAGACGGGGTTTCACCATGTTGACCAGATGGTCTCAATCTCTTGACCTCATGATCTGTCTGCCTCGGCCCCCCCAAAGTGCTGGGATTACAGGCATGAGCCACTGTGCCTGGCCAACTTTCCATGTATTTTTGACACTTGGAGTACTGTTATTGATTACACTATCTTTTCAGAATTGTTCAGTATACTACTTATTTCTGGACAATTCCCAAAATCTAGTCAAGTCATCTACCATATTGCATCTCAAACTATTCACCATTTTATTTTAAATACCAAGCCACTGTGGACCAATACACCTTTAAATCACAAAAATAAAAAAGTATTACTGGGAAAATAAAAGCTGAAAATGCAAAGATCAATAACTTTTCATATACCCAATTTTTTAAATAAATTCACTAGACAGTGCAATGTTTCAATAAATATAACAAAAATGAGAAAAAAGAAAAAATATGTAAAATTTGCATGCTGTTTATTAAAAGTATCCATAGAGGAAATTAATATAGATAATTGCTATTAAACTTATAATTTTTGTCATTAGAAAATTCTAACTTCAAGATAGGTTATAGGTAAAATAATGATTTCCATATTAAATGTCCGTTCTCACAGTTTGAATGAATACCACATATATCAATATTTAAAATGCATAACCTGACAAATATCCAGGTTGGATTGATGACTATGCTCAGTGGATGATCTATATCAAAATTTTTCTATATTTTGTTTCAAAAAGAATCACAGTAGAGAAGCCAATCTCAAAGGGACAAGTGGATGGAAATGGAGTAAAAGATTTTAAAGCAATTTCAGCATGCTCAGGATATTCACATCTAACTATTATCCAAAATGCAAGTGATGCTGCTTTCTCAAAATACCTTCAATTCTTCACCTGTAGTCAGGTCTAAAAATTTAAATTATCTTTTCACAAAATAAACGGATTCCACATTTAATACACTTCTGGGTTAAAGCTGGTAAATAAATATCACCCACATATGCATGACTAACATCCAGCTCACTCCACATGCAACTTGAATGATCTATATACCTTGTTCAATGAGGTGAGCCCTATAATCAGACATTTAGAATGTGAAGGTAATGTCAAATGCCTAAAAACATGGCTCAATACTCCTGAGTTTATCTTTATCTCCTTGTGGAGTGGTAATACACAGTTCATAAACTGGCACCAGTGTGGGGCCACACCTTTCACACTAGCATTGCTTTATTCCACAATTTTGCTATATTATTTGTAGAAGACAGTGGAGATTATAAGCAGCCTAACCTCTTAGCTACATTTGAATAAATATTTTCAGATTTCTTAGGTTTGAATCAACACGTTTGCTGTCAAATAATTTGTATTATTAGGTTTTGTTTGCTTGCATGTGTGTTTGTGTGTGTGTGTGAGAGAGAGAGGCAGAGACAGAGTGTTTGCTGTGTGCCTCCCAAAACTTGTAAAAAATTATCAGTTTGTGACTTGTTTTATATATGACTGATATCTATTACATTCATGTGTGCAGAACCAAAATATGCCCTAACAACATGTAAAATTAAGAAGCATATGATGTCATGTTTCTATTATTAGCTGTTCAAGGTTTTAGTAACAATTCCAGGTGACATTTGTACATCTAAATTAAGTCAAACCTGCATATTACATTCATTTCTTTTTCACATGTTAAATCTTATTTTCATGTTAGTAGCAAAATATATTAGGTGACTCAGTATTTTCATATAGGAAAAATTTTAATCATATCAAAATTTGGTTTAGTTAAGACTGAAAAGCCTGTGGTACTTGAATACTGAATAATGAATTATCAAGGAATTAAAATGACTTCAAATAAATATAAAATCAAGGTGTTAAATTGAAACACTAAATTATAAGCAGTGATTTGCATTGTAAAACATCCCCAAAACAATATAATATGAAATGAATTGGTGTAGTGAGTTACATAGTAATCCCTAAAATAGATAGGTCCACCTGGAACCGCAGAATGTGATTTTTTTAATAAAGATCTTTGCTGATATAATTAGGGTAAGGATCTTGAGAAAAGGTCATTCTAAATTAGATTAGTCCTTAAATATGGTGAGTTTCCTTATAAGAGACAAAGAAGGAGAAACTGAGACACAATTAGAAAGGTCACGTGAAGATGAAGGCAGGGATTGGAATGAGGCCTCTACAATGCTTGGGAAGAGCAAGATTGTCTGTAGTCATCAGAAGCAGAAGAGATGCCTGAAATATTCCTCCACAGAGCCTCCAAAAGGAGCTAATTCACCAACATTTCAGTTTTGGGCTTCTGACCTCATGAACTATGAGAGAATTAAAATATCTAGTGCTTAAAGCCATAAAATGTGTGATAATTTGTTACAGCAACCCTAACGAACTAATACAATGTGATATATAATATTATTAACCCTATATTTTTCCCCTCCTTGTATGCATACACACTTTGTCATGTTACTTTTCACTAAACAGAGAGTCTCTTTCTTTGCCCCTTGATTTTGGGCTTGGCCATCTGACTTGTTGTGCTAACAGAATGAGGCAGATGTCACAGTGAACCATTTCTAAGTCCAGGCCTTCGGAGTCCTTGTATGTTCCTGCTTTTTTTTGTTTTTCTTAAGTTGGTCAGGTCTGGAAAAAGAAGGTGCTTAGGCCAGCCCACTGGCCTGGGAGAATGATGAAAGACACATGGAATAGCATTGCTACGGTCAAGCCCAGTCTCAATCAGCTGGCTCCTAGCTAACATGGAGACTAACAATAAGTAATTACAGTTTTAAGTCACTATATTTCAATAATGTGTTTTATACAGCAACTGTTTACTAATACGTTGAGGGAATGTATCACTTTTTAATAGCAAAATATTTGTTAGAACTATTCCACGTTAATAACTAATATTTAATTTCCTATTTGGAGGAGTTTTTAACCTGCTGGTATAAAAATGGACAAGAAAAAAAAAATTTTAAAAATAACATTTTTTCCTCCAGATTAGCAGGTCTTAGGTATCATATCATGTGATCTTTTAAAAATTAACATGAACTGGAACTTGGTATTCTTAACTATCATATGTACTTATGTCAAGGGCATGATGATGTTTTATGATACTCAGAAAAATCTACATCTGGTCACATTGCTCTCTTACTCTAAATGGTTCAGTTCATAAGGTAAACAGGTGAATTGCAAGCTCCCTAACAAGGCTTATCATGGCCTGGCCTCTGCTTATTGATCTGGAGCAGACACCTTTGTGCCCCATATCATATCCCCTTAGCCCATCTGTGATCTCAGCTGCAGCTAAGGACAGTTTATGTAAACACCAATTCATCTCATGATAGCAGCATCCAATATCAAGTGGACACAGCAAGTCTTTCACTTGCTTTCCAGCCTAGTGCCTCTCTTCCTACAGTAGAAGTTGTTGCCAGGCTGGCAAGTCTTCTAGGTGCACCCTGGAAATATGAGGGAGTTAATACCTCAGGACAACTTCAGTTGATAGAGGTTGAATGCATACAGGTAAATGCAGTAGCTTCCTTTCCTGCAGGAAGATAATTCTGGGTGGTGTTATTTACTGTTCTCAAGGGGGCTGGTTAAATGGACCCCACCGTAAAAAGGAGTAACCTTGATAATTTAGTCATACATTACCTTTTCCTTCTTGCCTGTTACCCTTCCTGTCCTTTCACCTTTGCTTCCTGGGAACACCTCCAAAGAAAGTGTCTGTGTCCAAGTCCCTGGCTCAGGCTCTGCTTTAGAGAAAATCAAATAAAGACCTCCCCCCATCTTCTCTCTCACTTCTCTTCTCCCTTTCCCTTTACTCATTTTTCACCATAATGAGCTTTAGTACTTAGAGTTCCAAGTAAGTTCTCTCACTCACATACCCTACTTTGCACATATTACTTATATGACTACCTGGAACACTTTCCCTAAAACCTTATCTTCTATACGTGTCTTATCTCAATCAGTTTTGCTTACTCTTCAAGTTCTAGCTTAGGCGCCACCTCTTCCATGATGTTTTTCGAAAGAAACCAAGTGTCCTTCCTTAAGTGCTACCATATGTGAATTCATATATCAATGTACTGATCACCTTGAATAATAAACAAAAATTGTCTTACTCTTTTAGTCCCTGCCAGCTGTTAAACCTATCACTATTTTAAGAAAGGGTAGGGAAATTTGCTCTCAAGTGCATCAAGCGGTAAGAACACCATATGTGTGATATTAGGAATCTTCTGTTGAACAAACATTTACAGACATTTATCAGCACTGTACTCAGATACATTTGTTTCTTAAGCCATGTTTACTGACAGCCTTTTTTTATCTTCATTTGCTATCAAGATGTCTAAGTATAAACTTATGTTTCTGCATCAAACCTAGCAAAGGGAAAAATTTATTATTTCATTCATTCATTCTTTCAACAAGTAGTTACGTTCATTTTGTGTGTCAGGCACTTTAATAAGCATTGTTAAATAAGACATTGCCCATACCATTAAAGCCCAGTAGGCAGATTCAGGTGACGAAGTAAGTCCAAGGATTTAACTGCATAAGTGTTCCTTAGAAGAAGAAGGGAAAGCTTTTGAGTCCAGGCATAACCTAAGATAAGGCATAATAATGATGATTAAGATTTATTGAGGGCTTAATCCTTTCACATCACACAGCCAAGAGGAATATCTCAAATGTTGACAACAACCCTTCGGTCTAAATAGTTATTATCCACACTGTACTGAATAGAAATTTGTAGCAAAGACAAACTAAAGCAATGTGCCCAAAATAGAACAAAACTAAGAGTTTAGGTGAGAATTCTAATCTAGGTTTTCTGGAACTGTAATTCATGTGCTTGGATAGCATACTTCAGTTGTCCAGATATTATATAATAAATTACCAAAGTGTTCAGGTGAATGATAAAGTAGGCAAGATTTAATTCAGAAAGAAATTATTGGTAGATTAGTTGATAATTGATACACTGGCACAATTATGTTTTTCTTTCAAAGTGGAGTTTTTTCAAAGTAGGAGTCAGAAAACTTGCCAAAGCAACTATTTTGAGTAAATTCACACATGCAATCTAGAATTTTTTAAAGTGTTGTAACTCAGAAAAGTATTTTTAAAACTCACAAATGCCATTGCATGATAGAGAAATATTATATGTTTCCAAGGGAATTCATTGTTTTAACAGAGGCTATTCATTTGATCTTTCTGATTTGCTGCTATAGTGGATGTTGAGGTACACTGCCCGATTTTCATTACTTTTCTTGCCTTCAGATAAAGAAAGCCATATTGCCCAGGATTGTGCCTCCTACTTGGGGGCAGGCCATATGTAAAGGCCGCTTGATGTGAGAATAGAAAGGCCAGGACATCTTGTCTCAATATCTCTCCAGGGTCATCTCAGTTCCCAAGTTCTTTGTAGCATTGATTGAGATCTTTGGTGTGACTGAATCCCAACTCCTCCTTCTGGCCAATTTTTCTTTAATAGCTCTCCTGTAAAAAATACTCTCTGATCACCATTCTATGTATAAATCTCTTTATCAGGGTTTGAAACATAATTGTACCCTACTTATAAGCTAACAAGTTAGTCTTACTATAAATGCTGGAAAAAGACACAAGACTTCTGGTTCAGAGGCAGATGGTGTTATCAATCATGGTACAGTCAGAAGCATGAGAATAAAATTATCAGTTCTACCCATTCCTCTAAAGTCTAACAGTGGCAAAATGAAGGGCCCAAAGAGATGTCTGCACATATGTATACTACCTTACAAAGGAGGAACAATAAACTTCGGAAATATAACAGGAAGTGAGAAAGCCTGCCCTGTGTCATGGAGGGAAATGTTTTGCCATGCCTCAAGATTACTCACTGTATATATAATTCTGAGAAATGGCTTCTATAAAGAGTAGTTGGGGCTCTACACTCTTGGCACATGTAACAAGAACTTACAGGATCACTCAGGGCTAATGATAAATTTCCTCCCCCAACACTCTGTATCAGAACTTGCTTCCCAGGGAAGCCAACCTATGATAAAAAAATTCACTGGAGAATGGACGAATCTACACAGTTTCACGTCCTATTCTTTATTATTTGCTATTCTCATCAGGTAACATGTAGCTTATATAATAAATATGATGAACTGCTAAGTATGTAGCTTATATGATAAATACTATGGACTAATAAGGATTGCCTTAATGATCAGGTTTTGCAGCCGTTCTAGAAGCAAATGTGTATTTATTTAGCCATTATTTAGTAATTATTAATAATCAGATATGTTTTATTAATCTATATCCTGAGGTAAACTTTAGTTTTATATATAATATATATTTTATATATTCTATTATATATTTTATATATATTATAGAATATATATATTTTATATATTATAGAATATATATATTTTATATATTCTATTATATATTTTATATATAACTAGTTATAGATATAACTAAAGTTTGTATATACTTCATATAAAGTTATATATAAAGTTATATATGGTTATATATAAACTTCAGTCTTACATATGTAACTAATTATATTTATAAAATATATGTAAGTTTATAAAATATATAAAGTTATACATAACTATATTTATATATATATATATAAAACTAAAGTTTACATGGGAAAATGGATAGATAACCCATTATATCATCTTATTAATGACTAAAAAAATTACTGCGTAGTTACTATATAAAGTAAAATATAGGATTTACATCTGGATTTAAGTTTGAAAAAAGGGAAAAAGCAGTTTCCTTTGCTATACCAATTAATTTCTCAATTTAGGCAAAAGCTTTCATGATGTCACTGGTGGAAATTTTTAAAATGTGAATTGTAGCTAGAAGAAATGATAAAACTCAATGGAAATAGAATAAAATAAGGACAGTAGAGTATAAGGTAAATGCAGAATAAAGCCTTCTGGAATACTTTTAAAAAGTTCTTCTAAAGTAGTTAAAATAATTAACATAATTGATGTTACTTTACATGTTTTCAATTCCCGGGTATTTGCCTACATGCTTTCTATAAATTAAATTGAACACTTGGTTATGACAAGAATTTTCTTGTCATACTTATGACAAGAATTTTCTCATCTGAAGAAAGAGAAAAAAACTTGTAAGCTTTGTTTTTGTCTGGAAATACCAACTTCTACTTCCCAAATCAAATAAATAAATAAATCCATATATATAGAAAGATAATTAGATATTACTGTAAAACACTTCAAAAATATTCTTGAATTTTTAAATGTATTTTCTTAAACTACATGGCTCTTAAATTCTTTCAAAATACTTTTGTGAGAGAATTACTGCTGAATCTAAAGACTATGATTTTCATTAAAGAAACGTGGTATTATAAATGAGTCAAAAAAATTAAGAGGAAATATGTAGCAGATTGTTGGTTAGGATTTCTCAGTGAGAGAAAGTGTTCATGGAAAAAATTATTTCACTTGAAAGAAGGAACCAATAAAGGTTGGAATAGAGGCAATGGACAGCTTTACTATACATACCCTCACATTAATTATTAAATTTACTTTCTTTTTTATCTAAAGAGGCAGATCTGCTACTCGTAAAAACCTTTTGTAGAAGAAAGAAACACTATAATTTTACACTTTGGTTTTGACACAATTCAATAATACAAGAAGTAATTTGGGTTGGAAAGGACTTGCATTTTGTAATGAGTTAAAATTGAGACCAAGGCTCTATCTAGTGTGTTAGTGTGAATTGGTGATATAAAGGTTCAGGATAGGGTTTAGATACAGGCAGTATAAAATGAGCCTGATATACTGTGACCAAATTACTTCTGTGATTCATGGAATTCCTCTGCAATAGAAGGTGGGGTAAGACTTTTGTTGTTGTTGCCAGAACTGGCTAGCAAGGTCTAGAGCTCTGACATTTGATAGACACGTGACAATAATTGGATGCAGAACCCCTTCTAGAACCCACTCAGAGATGAAAGGCCCATCTCTACCACAGTCAAATAACATTCCATTCTCAGTTCCTTTAGGAAGGGCTGTGGAGCTCTCTGCTCTTATTGTCTGCCTATCCTCTTGAGTAAAATCTCCTACAGTGATACCTCCCCACATGGAGAGCACTGGGTAAGTGTCATAGTCTCTGGTTTTCTCAGCTTACTCTCCTTATATTGAGGTTTTGCCCTCTGAGCAAGCAGGAGCAAAAGCACCTCAGGCAACAAAATTCTCAGCCTGCCATGTCTAGGGTAGATCCTCTGTCCTATGGGGAATGGTTTGAGCAAGAGAGCCCATAAACTCTCAGTCACACTGATTAGGAAGTTAGTGGCTGGGCGCGGTGGCTTACGTCTGTAATCCCAGCACTTTGGGAGGCCGAGGCGGGTGGGTCACGAGGTCAGAAGATCAAGACCATCCTGGCTAACATGGTGAAACCCCGTCTCTACTAAAAATGCAAAAAAATTAGCCAGGCGTGGTGGCGGGTGCCTGTAGTCCCAGCTACTCGGGAGGCTGAGGCAGAATGGCATGAATCCAGGAGGCAGAACTTGCAGTGAGCTGAGATCGTGCCACTACACTCCAGCCTGGGCTACAGAGCAAGACTCAAAAAAGAGCAAGTCTAAAAAAAAAAAAATACAAAACAAAAAACGGAATTTAGTCTTTGCAACTTGGAGTGTGGAGTAGAGAAATTCTGGTAACCTGTCCCTTGTCTTGAAATACTGTATCTTTTGACTAGGAACTGATGGGACAGGGAACCCTGTTTTCTTAGTCACACTTCCCAAACTGAAGCTTCTCTCAATCATCACATGGAGATGAGGATAGGAACATGAAACAGAGGGAGCAGGTTGTGACCAAGTTCCTTGACTTTCATTGTTCTTACCAATATTTAGAAGATTTTCTAAAGTAAGTATTTATTAATTTTCTGTTTTTTTCTTAGGTCTACTTTCAGAGACTTTAAATGGTCATCTGTTTAAATAATTTTTGCCAGTCATCAACAGCATTGCATTGGGATTGGCTCTGCAGAACTCCTCACGCTGCCATTCCTGACATCCAAAGTTGATCAGGGCATTTTCTTAATAAAGTTATTAGAACAGATTCCAAGTTTTGAGTAATAGTTGAGACATCAAATGCATCAACAAACAAGAACTGAGCCAATCAATTCAAAGCAAATTATAGCTTCTCAAAAACTTCAAAAATGCCTTCTACTCAGTCCAACAGACAGTTTTGTGTGAGTCAATGTAAGATGTTACCGAATATATTTGGTCTAAAATTGTAGTATTAGTCATGTCCCGCCTCAAATGCTAGCTTCCCTTAATAGACTATTGTCTATAATTTACGAATTTGCTCTATAATTATCAACCAATTAAAAATATAGAGAAGGCAAGATGGCACAAGAGGTGATTGTGATACATATTTGGGGACTGGGGAGTACAGTCAAAGTCATTCAGACAGTAAGGGTAGCACAAAGATTAATACAGAAGTTTATCCTTTCTGCATGTTCATTCTTTCCTGCCATATTCTTATCTGGAACTTGAGATTTGAGTAGATGATCTCCAGGTCAGCTGGAATTCTCGCACCCTTCGATTCTATACGATAATAGTCTGACATCTAAGTGATAATGTTGAGGAGAAAGTTGGAGATAAGGGATTAGAAGCTGGCTGAGAGTTCAGAAGTAGAGATTTATACTAAACACTGATTATTGTTGATCTTGTATTTTAAAAAATGAGAGAGAAACAAGAATAGGTTTGCTTTTTGTAGAAGGAGAAATGAAAGAAGAAATCTCCAGAAGGAAAGACAGAGACAGAATGAAAAACAGGGCATTTTAAAGCCTTTGATCTTAAAAGTAAAAATTTCAAGAAGAAAATATGATCAATAAGGTAAAGGGACAAAAATATCTACAACGTATTTGGGAAAAAAAGATTTACTTTTCACCTGTCAGTTTTGTAAAGTGTGTAATAATAGTTTGGAAAAAGTGGTGAAGATAGTAGCAAGTTTGTGTAAAATAACAGAAAACTCGATAAATAAAAATAAAAATTGTATTATGAAATACAAAGAAGTGATAAGGCTGTAGGTATTAGCAGCCTTGATTATACATACATATGTGGGTAACAAATAACAGCACCACTTGAAATAAGTTTAATAATCCTTTCCCTAAAAGGTAAATTGAATTTACTTTTATTTGCCACCTTTTAAATATTAGAGGGCATCTACTGCTTATATCATTCTTGGATTTAGTGTATAATTTATTTTTACTGTGATCAAGAGCTTATAGTTAAAGAGAATTCTACCACAACTTCTTTATCCTTTTTTAGACCTTCTTATTATTGTTTATGTAAATGAATTTTTTAACATTGTATATGAATATAAGTACATTCAATTGACTGTATATAAGAACAATCTGGATATTGACTTAATTTGATTACTTTTTCTTAATAGAAACAGGATATTCAAAACACTAACATGATTTTTTAAAAATATGCTACAGCCCACACAGTTTAATTTTTAAAATCACTAAAATGTGTGCAACCCTCATTATATTTTTGTCAATCTTCTATTCTTCACTAGGAATTTACCACACCCCATCTGTTGGTAGACTGCAACACTCCAACAATTTTCTTCAACCTTCTCCTCAGCAAGATTTCCTTCAAATGCTTGTATTGATACAAGACTGCCAAATTACTTCACTGATTTTTCTTCTTTTCTAGTGAAACAACATCTTGATTCTGTGAACTTGTCCCACTTTAAGTTGCTTATCCAGAAGAAAATGTATTCTTTTTCTGGCCATAATCTTTACATCTTTTTAAATCTGGAGACAAAATTATGTAGGAAAGATGTAAGGTCTATCTTTAAGCATTTTTTGAGGGGGTGACCCTGGGAGATTTTATTACTTTATCCCTGAACCTCAGTTACCTTATCTGTAAGATGGGGATAATAATAGCACCCATGTCATAACTATGAAGATTAAATGTATTAGTGCAAGGAAAACACTTTAGTATGTGCCTAGCACATGCTACACACTCAACAAATGTTATTTATACATACTGTTGTCTCAAACAGGAATGTAATGCTTAATACAAAAAATAGATTTTAGCCACTCACGTGTTCTCTTGGCTCCTGAAACATGAGCTACCCCTGCCCTAGTTCTTTTGAGCCCATCAAGATAGCTGTCCTTGTCTTTAATCTCCAAAGGAGTTTGATGTGACACAACTGCCAGGTGGCTTTCGTCTCCACAAATGAATAATAAAGCAATTCTGGCTGTTTTAGGGAACAAAACACTAGAGTTTAATCTTCCAACTTGATTGATTTGGAAGCTTTCCTATCAATGTAAAATATTCTGTTTGGGGAAGTGGAGAAACCAAGGCCAATTCCTCAGTTGTATTTCCAGTGGAAGGTTTGGTTGCTGTCCTGCTGCAGGCTCTGCTGCAGGCTTTTGGTTGCTTTCTTGCTGAGGGCAATTTTGGGCCTCAAAACCATGCTGATGGAGCAGCTGAACAGAGAGGGCAGATTCTCGAAGCCACTCGTAAGTCTGAGAAATTTCAGTTTCTGTTCCTTGTTCTCAAAACCAGCAGTATCTCACTGGCCAAAATGGGTTCCTGTCCACTTCCTGGTTTCGGAAGCGTCTGTATTGTCCTCTTCATGATGGGTGTCTTCTTGCAAGGGCTCTCACCTCACCTGGTCTATGTGTGCCTCATCCATGTAGCCTCTTTTCCAACATCACCTCCAAATCTGTGTATGGTTACTACTTCCCAGGGTCTCCTTCTACCCCACTTTTCTTCTTCTTTTTCTTCCTTTTCAGAGCCAGCTGCTCAGTGATTAGTGGCTCTACCTCTTTCTTGAACTTCATTTTCTTTTTCACTGGGCTTGAAGGCCATCTCCTGCTGGGATATATTCTGGAGCCTCCATTTTAACTGGCTTCTTTTTACTTTCTTTCCTAGGGCTGCTCTCCGTTCACCCGGAGGGCTTGGGGTGGCCTAGGAGGGTGTCTCCCTCTTGCTGGATTTTTTTCTTCATCTTCCTGCTGTGCTCCCTGGGGTTCCTGGCTTCCATTTCTGCCTAAGGCTGCCTGCTTCTGGCCCTCCTTCCCCTCACAGCAAGTTTACACAGCAACCGTGGCCTTGTAGAACCAGACTGAAAAGGCTGTGGAGTCCTGGGCCCCCCCTTTTTTTTTTTCCTTTTCCGAGATTCTTGCTAACTCTGGTCTCCTTTTCACCATGTCTGGGGCATGAGGAACTTTTCAACTCAGAGTCATGAGATATGAACAGAGGTGACTTCCTCTTCTTTTTCTTCTCCCTGCTGAGGAACTCTGAGTGACCCAGGGACTGCTTCCCAGGGTGAGTGACTTCTCTGTTTGTCTGGTATGCAGTGTGGTCGCAGGTTTTAGGTGGTTCCTTGCAAAGGGGGATGAGGCCCTTTTTTTTCTTCTTTTCTTTCTTCACTAGAGGCATCTCAGGTACCTACCCTTGGACCACATTCTTAGAGGGAGTGCGAGTCTTACAGGAGAAACATCAGTAAAATAATCATCATTGTTTAAAATTCAGTATTGAGTCTCTGGTTCTTTGACCATTTTCTTCTTTTTATCTGGGAGGCTAAGGCCCAGGTCTGCTTTGTGGGTCCTGGTGTTCATTCTGGTAGGACAGACTTTACTGCCTCCATGTGGGAGCCCTGTCTTTCAGCATTTGAAGCACTATCAGTTGGACAAGGGTATATATTTTTTCAAAGGGTAGAACCCAGACAAATCAATGGAAGTTGCAACATTTTGGCTCAGAAAAAGAAGCTTTCAACAATGGAACAACTAGCCTCCAGAGAGAATGAGCTCTCTTTGAGTGAAGGTGAATGATGATTTGTCAAGCATTTTCTAGAAGAAACCCCTGGACAAAGCAAGAAGTGTATCTGAGTCATAAAATATGCAGTTCAAAAATCCCTTTAGAAATCATCTCTTACCATTACACGTAAAGTTAAGTGCACAATATCATTTAACTTAATGATCCCCTAATCTGATTATCAAAATCACCTGCAGAGTTGTATGTTTAGAGGGGAAGGTAGCGGTTGGCTGACAAGTTACAGACCCACTGTAAGGCTATTCAATTGGGAACTTCTGCTGGTGGGACATGGAAATATGATTCTGATGATTCACTAAGTTTTGGAACCACTGATATTGCCAGGACTTGAATCAAGGTCACCCGATTTCTAGTCATAGTCAAATGTTTTGTTTTTGTTTTTGTATTGTTTTAACCACATGATGTATCTTAAGTTCTTTTTTTTTTTTTTTTTTTGAAACAGAGTCTCGCTGTGTTGTCCAGGCTAGATTGCAGTGGCACAATCTTGGCTCACTGCAACCTCCACCTCCCAGATTTAAGCGATACTCTAACCTCAGCCTCCCGAGTAGCTGGGACTAAAGGCATGCAACACCATGCCAAGCTTATTTTTGTATTTTTAGTAAAGACGGGGTTTCACCATATCGGCCAGGCTGGTCTTGAACTTCTGATCTCGTGATCCACCCACCTCGGCCTCCCAAAGTGCTGGGATTACAGGCGTGAGCCACTGTGCCTGGCCTCTTAAGTCCTTTTTTGCATAAAATCTACGACTTTTTTTTTAATGGTATTTCTCTTGTCAGCAAAATGTATGATCCGCTCAGTTTTATTTCAAATTAGATCAACTTAGGTTGTCCACTTAGGTTTCATTCACTTTTAATTAGAGACTGGCCTAATTAATATCTAAGAGATATTATCTAGAGGCTGTAAATATTCAAAATTAACAAAAAATTAGCTGGATGTAGGATGGGAGATTGAGGCCAAAAAACTACACTTAAACAAATGAATCAATGTAATAAAACTGAATCCAAGCAGATTTTAACTTAAGAGCTAACAGACACAGAAAAGCAGATTACTGATATATGTCTACTTTTTGCCACTTTCTACAATTTTACCTGGTTTTCCTTTGACTTTAATACATAGCTGCTGATTTATTCTCCTTTCTAATACTTGGTTTTGGCTTATAAGTGATATCTTTTGCCAATAGTGCCTGCTTGTCTATTTGGCCATGAACTCCTTGAGGAGAAAGATTCTAGTTTGTGAGAGCCTTGTTTGAGAGCTCATGCTAGAAACTATAAAATGTGACACAATCAGTTTGACAATGCTGCTTTCAGAGAAAGTCTTAAAACCTACATTCTAGATCTAAAATTCCTCTATGTTGTATATGCTTCATATAATTATTGGGAAATCACTTCATAATGCAGTTTCTAATGAAACTTGTCATTTCATACTATTTAATATTTCATATGAATTTTTCTTTAAAGCTATACCTTCTCATCCTATTTACAGTCAATTAGTTTATCGAGTGTATATGATTATATCAATCTCTTACATGCTTGGAAACTTTAGAAATCTGGACAGTTTCTGTGAATTGCAGTTACCTCATCTGTAAAATGACTGGATTTCCTTATTCTTATCTAGAAACTCTAGAAAGCTAGACAGTTTCTTTGAATTTCAGTTTCATCTGTAAAATGACTGGATTTACTTATTCTTATCCAGAAAACCCTCATTCTCTCTAATAAGGCATCCCTTTGAAAGACCTTGCTCAAGCAGAGAGATCAGTTTACAGTTATAACTCAGTTATATACATATATATATATATATATATATATATATATATATATATATATATATAAAACTCAGTCAGGAATATAAACATAGCACATTCTCCCAAGGTTCCTGGAATAGAAAGCCTTAAATTCACAACATTCCAAGCCATTCATTCACTTCCCCCTCCCAACCCACTATTTAGTCATACCAATATGTCACATGTATTATCTGCTATTTAAATTCCTTGAGTGCATAGGACTATATTATATGCAAGATGCTTCTTTTTGTTGGACTATATTAAACCAATTTTCTGGTCAAGATAACGCTGCTCTCACATTTGCCTTTTAACTATTTCAAATTATCAGATTTTCCTTAATTATTTGGCACAGAATCTCTCAATAGTCTTCAGATTTTCAAGTACTTTTGAAGTGTATCTGTAGATTTATGTACCACTACTTCACTCACAAGCTTAACTACTTGCTCTCTGATTGTCAGTTTTTACAGTGTCAAGAAGAACCATTTATGCATTGCACAATGCCTGTCAGTTAGTCCTTAAGGACCTGTAAATGGTATGAAAAAAATATTATTGTTCACTAGGTAAGTTGAAATAGCAGCTGTTAACATTATCATCGGACTCTTTTTTAGAGCAACAATAATCAACAGAAACAACTTTCCATAATACTCATACCTGTATGGTTGCAGTAGTTTTAGTTATTTCACTTAAGAAGAGCAACAGTAATTTTTCTGTTGTCAGTTTATATATGTGAGGTTTTAAAAATGTTAGAAATAAGACAAGTAGGAGTACCTTCGGTGAGTTAAAATATAAAATTAATCTATAATAAATTAGAGAAGACATATGCAAAGTCACCTCAGAAACAGAATAGTTCCAAATTCAGTGTGAATATACTAACACTCAAAGATACAAGTCAGAAAGGGGTGTAACCAGTCATCCAGTGATCATTTATCATCCATGGGTGAGTCAAAAAGTGATTTCCATCTCCTCTAGATTTTCTAGTTTATGCGCATAAAGGTGTTCACAGTAGCCTTGAATAATCTTTTGTATTTCTGTGGTATCAGTAGTAATAGCTCCCATTTAATTTATAATTTAGCTTATTTTGATCTTCTCTCTTTTCTTGGTTAATCTTGCTAATGGTCTATCAATTTTTTTATCATTTCAAAGAACCAGCTTTTTAACTTATCCTCTGTATATTTTTTTTGTTTCAATTTTATTTAGTTATGCTCCGATTTCTGTTGTTTCTTCTCGTCTGCTGGGTTTGGATTGTTCTTGCTTCTCCAGTTCTGTGAGATGGGACCTTAGATTTTCTACTTGTACTCTTTCAGATCTTTTGATGTAGGTATTTAATGCTATGAACTTTTCTCTTCATCTTGACTTCAGATAACCTGATGACTAAGTGCTTAGGTGATAATCCTTTTGAAATGAATTTGCCAGGTGTTCTTTAAGCTTCTTGCATTTTGATGGCTAAATCTTTGGAAAGGCTGGGGCAGTTTTCCTCAATTGTTTTCTCAAATACGTTTTCCAGACATTTAGATTTCTCCTCTTCCTTGGTAACACCAATTATTCTTAGGTTTAGATAGTTAACATAGTCCCAAACTTCTTGCAGGCTTTGTTCATTTTTTAAATTCTTTTTGTTTTTGATAGACTGGATTCATGTGAAAGCCTGTCTTCAAGCTCTGAAGCTCTTTCTTCTGCTTGTTCAATTCTACTCATGAGAATTTCCAGTGCATTTTGCATTTTTCTAAGTGTGTCTTTCATTTCTAGAAGTTGTGACTGTTTTTTGTTCATGCTATCTATTTCACTGAAGATTTTTCCTCTCATATCTTGTATCATATTTTTGATTTCTTTAAGTTGGACTTCACCTTTCTCTGGTGCCTCCTTGATTAGCTTAATGATTGACCTTCTGAATTGTTTTTCTGGGAATTCAGAGATTTCGTCTTGGTTTGGATCCATTTCTGGTGAGCTGGTGTGATCTTTTGGGGGTTTTAAAGAACCGTTTTGTCATTTTACCAGAATTGCCATTCTGGTTCCTTATTTGGGTAGACTATGTCAGAGGGAAGTTCTGGGACACAAGGGCTGCTGTTCAGAGATTTTTTTTGTCCCTTGATGTGGTGTTCTCCCCTTCCCCTAGGGATGGGGCTTCCTAAGAGCTGAATTGCAGTGATAGTTTTCGCTCTCCTGGGTCTAGCCACCTAGTGAAACTAACAGGCTCCAGGCCAGTACTGGGGAGTATCTGCAAACAGTTCTCTGATGGGATCCGTCTTCAGGTTTTGCAGCCATGGATACCAGCACCTGCTCCAGTGGAGGTAGCAGGGGAGCGAAGTGGACCCTGTGAGGATCCTTAGTTGTATTTTTGTTTAGTGCACTGGTTTTGTGTTGGTTGGCCTCCAGCCCAGGAGGTGGTGCTTTCAAGAGTGCATCAGCTGCAGTTGTATAGAGAGGATCAGACGGTAGGTGGTGCTATACAGCTCCCAAGAGATTATGTCCTTTGTCTTTGGCAACCAGGGCAGGTAGAGAAAGACCGCCTGGTGAAGCAAAGGGTTGGGTTAACTGAGAGTACAACTTATTCAACCAATGTGTTGGGATAATTGGGAAGCCACATGTACAAGAATGAAACTGGATCCTCATCTCTCACCTTATACAAAAATCAACTCAAGATAATTCAAAGATCTGAAACCAAAAAATTCTAAAAGATAACACAGGAAAAACCTTCTAGATATAGGCTCAGGCAAAGATTTCAAGACCAAGAACGCAAAAGCAAATGCAAGAAAGACAAAGATAAATAGATGGGGCTTAATTAAACTAAAAAACTTCTGCACAGCAAAAGAAATAATCAACTGAGTTAATAGACAATGCAAAGAGTGGGAGAAAACCTTCAAAATCCGTAGATCTGAAAAAGGGCTAACATCCAGAATCTACAAATAACTCAAACAAATCAGGAAGAAAAAAAATCCCATCAAAAAGTGGACTAAGGACATGAACAGACAATTCTCAAAAGAAGATATACTAGTGGCTAACAAGCATACAGAAAAATGTTCAACATAACTAACTATCAGGAAATGCAAATCAAAACCACAATGTGATACCACCTAACTCCTCCAAGAATGGCCATAATAAAAAAATCATAGATGTCAGCATGGATGTGGTGAAAAGCGAACACTTTTACATTCTTGGTGGAAATGTAAACTAGTACAACAACTATGGAAAACAGTGTGGAGATTCCTTAAAGAACTAAAAGTAGATCTACCATTTGACCCAGCAATCCCACTACTAGGTATCTACTCAGAGGAAAAAAAGTTATTATATGAAAAAGATACTTGCACATGCCTGTTTACAGCAGCACAATTTGCAATTGTAAATATATGGAACCAGCCCAAATGCCTATCAATCAACAACTGGATAAAGAAAATGTGATATATATATATGTGTGTGTGTGTGTATATATATGTGTGTGTATATATATATATATACACACATATATACGTATATATATATACATATATATATACACATATGCACACACACACACACACACACACACACACACACACACACACACTGAAATACTCCTCAGCCATAAAAGGGAATGAAATAATGGCATTCGCAGCAACCTGGATGGAACTGGAAAGTATTATTCTAGAAGTCACATAGGAATGAAAAACCAAATATTGTACGTTATCACATAATTGGGAACTAAGCTATGAGGACTAAAGGCGTAAGAATGATACAATGAACTATGGGGACTCAAAGGCATAAGGATGATATAATGAAAGGGTGAGAGGTGGATAAGGGATAAAAGACTACACATTGGGTACAGTGTACACTGCTTGGGTGATGGATGCACCAAAATCTCAGAAATCACCACTGAAGAAATTATTTACGTAACCAAATACCACCTTTTACCCAAAGACTAATTGAAATAAAAAATAATGTTTTTTTAAAAGGGATTTCCATAGATAAGTGATGGCCTCACCCAATGGATTCAAAGTAATTTCACACTATTTGCAGCTCTTCTGGCAAAGCATCCATATTATAAGATGACTGCAGGCAAACTTGATTCTAAAGTGTAGATTAATTCTAAATAGCTTTATCTAAAGTGAGACTAGTCTTTTTATTAAAAAAATGTATTCTCTTTTTTAATATTTCTTGTATAATAATAACATTGGCTATGGAGAAAATGGCATTGTCATTTGGGTGTGAATATTATGAGTGTTATGAGAGATATGTATACAATTTAGTAACTTGGGATTGTGAAATTATACATTAGTCTAGCGATATTGATAAATGTGAGTCTTCCCCTGAGAGAAGAATCTATTGTCAGTGATACGGTTTAGCTGTGTCCTCACCCAAATCTCATCTTGAATTGTGATTTCATAATCCCCACATGTTGTGGAAGGGAACCAGTGGGAGGCAACTGAATCATGGGGGCAGTTAGCTCCATGCAGTTCTCCTAATAGTGAGTTTTCATGAGATTTGATGGTATTATAAGGGGCTTTTCTCCTTTTGCTTAGCACTTCTTCCTGCCACCATGTGATGAAGGACATGTTTGCTTTCCCTTCTGCCATGATTGTGAGCTTCCTGAGGCCTCTACAGCCCTGCAGAATTGAGAGTCAGTTAAACCCCTTTCCTTTATAAACTACCCAGTCTTGGGGACTTTTTTTATAGCAGTGTGAAAATCTACTAATACAGTTATTTATTCATGGACAAAAATCAGGCTTCTGAGTATTTGAGACTGACCCGGGAAGCAGTGTATTTTCCAGGGCCTGTGAGATTTCTTGCAAGATATTTTGATGTTCTTTCTCTTTAGAAATGAAAATCTTAAGTATATACAGCCAATTGGAATTCTTAATTTCCATATTTCTGCATCAAGACTAGGGCTTTCAGGTTCACAAATACTTCGCTTTAGGATCTAAGAAAGTTTATGTATTGTTTTCTCCTGACGTTCTTTATCCATAAGGGCAGTGACCCTACTGTATGCAAATGTATTCTTTATAGCATTGAGCCATGGCTTTGTGCATATTTGGACTCTTGTATATGAAAGAATGTATTTAAAAATGACCCACTAATGTAAAAAAAGTATATATTAATAGAGGGCTACATATTGAATTATAAAATTAATATGTTGTCACCATTAAGTTGTAACAAAGTTTCTTTGTTACAAAACAAAGAAACTTGTAAACAAAAGAATAATGTTATAAACCAAAAAAAAAGCCTGACTAACATTTGAGCTTTTTTACCCTCTATGTTTTATAAACCTGATAAAAATATATGTATATTTAATGATTATTTCGATACAGTATTTATGCATTTCTAAATGTTTTATAATTTTGTACTCATTATTTGTAAGTATTTTTAATATCTGCATAATTTTCTACTATATGAACGTATTTGAATATACTCTAGTTTTGAACTTTATGTTCCTCAGAATGTTTACTACTATAAATGAAAATGTGAAATATAATTATCTTCATAGAAATAATTTGTTAGACAAAACTCTCCGAAGTGAAAATGTTAAATAAAATTATATGTAGATATTTACATATTGGAATCTTTCATGCATATTAAACATTTCACTTTCAACTAATAGTGTACAAATGGGAGCACTTTCTCATTCTTTTCTAAAACCATTAATAATCTGATAGATAAAATGACATGTTACTCTATTTCATTTGAATTTTTTTGAATACTTTGGACACATCAATTCTATGGACAAATTAACACAATCTCATTATTTAATATTTTAAGAATTTTTAAATAATCAAAATGTTTTTAAGAATAACTGATAATATGCTTGACCATACATCCTAGCTTAAGAAATAAAGTATTACTTAGCTATTATTAAAAGTCAATAAATTGCAGATGCTGGGGAGGGTGTGGTGAAAATTTACTCCCACTGATGGTGGGAGTGTAAATTAGTTCAACCATTGTGGAAGACAGTGTGGCAGTTCCTCAGAGATATAAAGACAGAATACCATTCCACCCAGCAATCCCATTAGTTGTTATATACCCATAGGAATATAAATTGTTCTATTATAAAGACACATAGACACTTATGTTTATTGCAGCACTATTCACAATAGCAAAGACATGGAATCAATTTAACTGTCTATCAATTAAAGACATGGATAAAGAAAATGTAGTACCTATATAGCATGGAATACTATGCACCCATAAAAAAAGAACAAGATCATGTCTTTTGCAGGGATATAGATGAAATTGGAGGCCATTACCCTCAGCAAACTAATGCAGGAATAGAAAACCAAATACTGCATGTTCCCACTTATAAGTGGGAGCTTAATGATGAGAACACATGGGCACATACAGGGGAACAACACACACTGGGTCCTGTTGGAGGGTGGGAGGAGGGAGAGGATCAGAAAAAATAACTAGTGGGTACTAGGCTTAATACCTGGGTGATGAGATAATCTGTACACAAATCCTCATGACATATGATCACCTATGCAACAAACCTGCATATGTGCCCCTGAACTAAAAGTTAAAAAAGATATACAAGTACATATTCCTTATCACAAACCTCCACCAAGATACTATATTTTCTACTTACACTTTTACTATATATGCATTTCTTAGCTATATATATTATATATACATAAGATACATATATACACATATATGTTTTGCATGTTTAAAAATGTATATAAATGGTATTGTAGGGGCCAAGGCTTGGCCCTCTGAAGGCTTGCTTAAAAATTAACTTGCAAAAAGATCGTTCCAAGATGGCCAAATAGGAGCAGCTCCAGTCTACAGCTCCCAGCGTGAGCAATGCAGAAGACGGGTGATTTCTGCATTTCCAACTGAGGTACTGGGTTCATCTCACTGGGGCTTGTCGGACAGTGAGTGAAGCCCACAGAATGTGAGCCAAAGCAGGACGGGGCATTACCTCAACTGGGAAGTGCAAAAGGTCAGGGGATTTCCCTTTCCTGGCCAAGGGAAGCCATGACAGATGGATCCTGGAAACTTGGTACACTCCTGCCCTAATACTGCGATTTTCCAATGGTCTTAGCAAATGGCACACCAGGAGATTATATCCCATGCCTGGCTCGGTGGGTCCCACACCCACAGAGCCTTGCTCACTGCTAGCACAGCAGTCTGAGATTGAATTGTGAGGCCGCAGCGAGGCTCGAGGAGGGGAGTCTGCAATTACTGAGGCTTGACTAGGTAAACAAAACAAACTGGGTGGAGCCCACCACAGCTCAAAGAGGCCTGCTTGCCTCTGTAGACTCCACCTCTGGGGGCAGGGCATAGCTGAACAAAAGGCAGCAGAAACTTCTGCAGACTTAAACATCCCTGTCTGACAGCTTTGAAGAGAGCAATGTTTTTCCCAGCACAGAGTTTGAGATCTGAGGATGGACAGACTGCCTCCTCAAGTGGGTCCCCGACCCCCGAGCAGCCTAACTGGGAGACACCTCCCGGTAGGGGCAGACTGACACCTCATACAGCTGGGTGTGCCTCTGAGACAAAGCTTCCAGAGGAAGGATCAGGCAGCAACATTTGCTGTTCTGCAATGTTTGCTGTTCTGAAGCCTCCGCTGGTGATACTCAGGCAAACACGGTCTGAAGTGGACCTCCAGCAAACTCCAACAGACCTGCAGCTGAGGGTCCTGACTGTTAGAAGGAAAACTAACGAACACAAAGGACATCCACACCAAAACCCCATCTGTACATCCCCATCATCAAAGACCAAAGGTAGATAAAATGACAAAAATGGGGAGAAACTGGAGCAGAAAAGCTGAAAATTCTAAAAATCAGAGCGCCTCTTCTCCTACAAAGGATCGCAGCTCCTCGCCAGCAATGGAACAAAGCCAGATGGAGAATGACTTTGACGAGTTGACAGAAGTAGGCTTCAGTAAATCAGTAATAACAAACGTCTCCAAGCTAAAGGAAGATGTTTGAACCAATCGCAAAGAAGCTAAAAACATTGAAAGAAGATTAGACGAACGGCTCACTAGAATAAACAGCGAAGAGAAGACCTTATATGACCTGATGGAGCTGAAAACCATGGCACAAGAACCGTGTGACGCATGTACAAGCTTCAGTAGCTGATTCAATCAAGTGGAAGAAAGGGTATGAGTGATTGAAGATCAAATGAATGAAATGAAGCACAAAGAGAAGTTTAGAGAAAAAAGAGTAAAAAGAAATGAACAAAGCCTCCAAGAAATATAGGATTATGTGAAAAGACCAAATCTGCATCTAATTGGTGTACCTGAAAGTGACAGGGAGAATGGAACCAAGTTGGAAAACACTCTTCAGGATATCATCCAGGAGAACTTCCCCAACCTAGCAAGGCAGGTCAACATTCAAATTCAGGAAATACAGAGACCACCACAAGGATACTCCTCGAGAAGAGCAATCCCAAGACACATAATTGTCAGATTCACCAAGGTTGAAATGAAGGAAAAAAATTAGAGAAAGGTCAGGTTACCCCCAAAGGGAAGCCCATCAGACTAACGGTGAATCTCTGAGCAGAAACTCTACAAGCAAGAAGAGAGTGGGGGCCAATATTCAACATTCTTAAAGAAAAGAATTTTCAACCCAGAATTTCATATCCAGCCAAACTAAGCTTCATAAGTGCAGGAGAAATAAAATACTTTAAAGACAAGTAAATGCTGAGAGATTTTGTCACCACCAGGGCTGCCCTACAAGAGCTCCTGAAGGAAGCACTAAATATGGAAAGGAACAACCGGTACCAGCCATGGCAAAAACATGTTAAATTGTAAAGACCATCGACAGTATGAAGAAACGGCATCAACTAACGAGCAAAATAACCAGCTAACATCATAATGACAGGATCAAATTCACACATAACAATATTAACCTTAAATGTAAATGGGCTAAGTGCTCCAGTTAAAAGACACAGACTGGCACATTGGATAAAGAGTCAAGACCCATCAGGGTGCTGTATTCAGGAAACCCATCTCATGTGCAGAGACACACATAGGCTCAAAATAAAGGGATGGAGGAAGATCTACCAAGCAAATGGAAAAAAAAAAAAAAAAAAGCAGGGGTTGCAAACATAGTCTCGGATAAAAGCAGACTTTGGAAAGATGAACAAAATTGATAGACCGCTACCAAGACTAATGAAGAAAACAGAGAAGAATCAAATAGATGCAACAAAAAATGATAAAGGGGATATCAACACCAATCCCACAGAAATACAAACTACCATCAGAGAATACTACAAACACCTCTACGCAAATAAACTAGAAAATCTGGAAGAAATGGGTAAATTCCTGGACGTATACACCCTCCCAAGACTAAACCATGAAGAAGCTGAATCCCTGAACAGACCAATAACAGGCTCTGAAATTGAGGCAATAATTAATAGCCTACCAACTAAAAAAAGTCCAGGACCAGACAGATTCACAGCCGAATTCTACCAGAGGTACAAAGAGGAGCTGGGACCTTTCCTTGTGAAACTTTTCCAATCAATAGAAAAAGAGGGAATCCTCCCTAACTCACTTTATGAGGCCAGCATCATCCTGATACCAAAGCCTGGCAGAGACACAAGAAAATAAGAATTTTAGGCCAATATCCCTGATGAACATCGATGCAAAAATCCTCAATAAAATACTGCCAAACCGAATCCAGAAGCACATCAAAAAGCTTATCCACCACAATCAGCTGGGCTTCATCCCTGGGATGCAAGGCTGGTTCAACATATGCAAATCAATAAATGTAATCCATCACACAAACAGAACCAAAGACAAAAACCACAGGATTATCTCAATAGATGCAGAAAAGGCCTTTGACAAAATTCAACAGCCCTTCATGCTAAAAACTCTCAATAAACTAGATATTGATGGGACGTATCTCAAAATAATAAGACCTATTTATGACAAACCCACAGCCAATATCATACTGAATGAGCAAAAACTGGAAGCATTCCCTTTGAAAAGTTGCACAAGACAGGGATGCCCTCTCTCACCACTCCTATTCAACATAGTGTTGGAAGTTCTGGCCAGTATAATCAGGCAGGAGAATGAAATAAAGGGTATTCAATTAGGAAAAAAGGAACCCTTTTCCTAATTTGTCCCTCTTTGCAGATGACATGAGTGTGTATTTAGAAAACCCCATTGTCTCAGCCCAAAATCTCAAGCTGATAAGCAACATAAGCAAAGCTGCAGGATACAAAATCAATGTGCAAAAATCACACGCATTCCTATATACCAACAACAGAAAAACAGAGAGCCAAATCATGAGTGAACTCCCATTCACAATTGCTTCAAAGAGAATAAAATACCTAGGAATCCAACTTACAAAGGATGTGAAGGACCTCTTCAAGGATAACTACAGACCACTGCTCAATGAAATAAAAGAGGACACCAACAAATGGAAGAACATTCCATGATCATGGATAGGAAGAATCAATATCATGAAAATGGCCATACTGCCCAAGGTAATTTACAGATTCAATGCCATCCCCATCAAGCTACCAATGACTTTCTTCACAGAATTGGAAAAAACTACTTTAAAGTTCATATGGAACCAAAAAAGAACCCGCATTGCCAAGACAATCCTAAGCCAAAAGAACAAAGCTGGAGGCATCACGCTACCTGACTTCAAACTATAATATAGTACTGGTACCAAAACAGAGATATAACCAATGTAACAGAACAGAGCCCTTAGAAATAATACCACACATCTACAACCACATGAACTTTGAAAAACCTAACAAAAACCAAGAAATGGGGAAAGGATTCCCTATTTAATAAATGGTGCTGGGAAAACTGGCTAGCCATATGTAGAAAGCTGAAACTGGATCCCTTCCTTACACCTTAAACAAACATTAATTCAAGATGGATTAAAGACTTAAATGTTAGACCTAAAATCATAAAAACCCTAGAAGAATACCTAGGCAATACCATTCAGGACATAGGCATGGGCAAGGACTTCATGACTAAATCGCCAAAAGCAATGGCGACAAAAGCCAAAATAGACAAATGAGACCTAATTAAACTAAAGAGCTTCTGCACAGCAAAAGAAACTACCATCAGACTGAACAGGCAACCTACAGAATGGGAGAAAATTTTTGCAATCTACCCATCTGAGAAAGGGCTAATATCAGAATTGACAAACAAATTTACAAGAAAAAGTCAACCCCATCAAAAAGTGGGCAAATAATATGAACAGACACTTCTCAAAAGAAGACATTTATGCAGCCAAAAGACACATGAAAAAATGCTCATCATCACTGGCCATCAGAGAAATGCAAAGCAAAACCACAATGAGATACCATCTCACACCAGTTAGAATGGTGATCATTAAAAAGTCAGGAAACAACAGGTGCTGGAGAGGGTGTGGAGAAATAGGAACACTTTTACACTGTTGGTGGGACTGTAAACTAGTTCAACCATTGTGGAAGACAGTATGGAAATTCCTCAGGGATCTAGAAATAGAAATACCATTTGACCCAGTCATCCCATTTCTGGGTATATACCCAAAGGACTATAAATCATGCTACTATAAAGACACATGCACACGTATGTTTATTGCGGCACTATTCACAATAGCAAAGACTTGGAACCAACCCAACTGTCCATCAATGATAGACTGGATTAAGAGAAGGTGGCACATATACACCATGGAATACTATGCAGCCATAAAAAAGGATGAGTTCATGTCCTTTGTAGAGACATGGATGAAGCTGGAAACCATCATTCTGAGCAATCTATCTCAAGGACAGACAACCAAACACCACATGTTTTCACTCATAGGTGAGAACTGAACAATGAGAACACTTGGACACAGGAAGGCGAACATCACACTGGGGCCTGTGGTGGGGTGGGGGCATGGGGGAGGGATAGCATTAGGAGGAATACCTTATGTAAAAGAAGAGTTAATGCAGTACACCAACATGGCACATGTATACATATGTAACAAACCTGCATGTTGTGCACATGTACCCTAGAACTTAAAGTATAATAATAATAATAAAAGAAAGTAAAAAAAAAATAACTTGCAAAAGGCAGATTAATTGGAGAAAAGGCATAAAAACTTATTTAACATGTATATACAGGAGCCTTTAGAATGAAAACCCAAAGATAGAAGAAAAATTGCCCAATTTTATGCTTAGGTTTAACAAAGCATGGATAGCCATGTTGGAATGTGATTAAACAAAAAGGGGATGATCTAATGCTAATAGACTCAGTAGCAAAACCCAGCAAGGCCTGCCTATGTAGATTCTTCTTTGTCTCTCTGTCCATGGATTCCCTTCTTCTGGGTATGGGACAGGATCCTCCATAGAAGAGGACTTATGACCTATAGTCAAACAAGGTAGGTCAGATAATTTCTTCATGGCCAGCTTTTACACAGAGAAGTGGAAGGATAGGTAGAGTAATATTTTTAGGTCTTATGTCTGGCTTTGGAAGAAAGAGATTTGGTTTCCATGACTAGTCTTGGGGAAAAGGGATTCTAGTTTCTATGGCTAGCCTCTGGGGAGAATGGGACAAAGAAACAGAAGGTCAGAGAAAATCTTTTTTGTTCTGAGGACTTCATTGTGGGGCATTGTTTTCTGTGCCCCAACAGTACCATATGTCCATATATCTTCTGTTATTGTTTTTAAGATATATCCATGTTTATAAATGTAGGTTTAGTTTATTTTTAATTCTGTATTATTATAAACTTTTGATTTTTTTCCTGTGTCAAACAACATCATATATTGAATCGTGTGTTCTTGAGTATATGCATGATTTATTCTCTATTTTATATGGAATTAATGATTTAGTTAATACAGTTTATATTGAATGAATACATTGAAGTGACACTGCTGGGTTATCAGATATGAGATATGTTCAAAATTATATATATCCAGGTGTTGCTTGCAAAATATGTAAGACAGTGCAGCTTTTCCATTCAATGATGTAGTACCATGATGTAGTACATTCAATGCATCCCTTTCCAGTTGTTGCTTGTAAAATACATAAGACAGTGCATTTTTCCATTTCGTTTCAATATATATATATGTTGCTATATACCCACTAGCAACATACTTCCAGATGCTCTCTGTGTGTATAGATGTGTGTGTGTGTATACATATGTGTGTATGTTTATATATATATATATATATATATATATACACATATATATATATATATATATGTTGCTATATACCCACTAACAACATAATATAGTTCCAGATGCTCTATATCCCTGCTAATATTAGGCATTTCAAACTTCTGAATTTTTGCTAATTGTATATATTTCAAATATTTTCATTTACAGGCACACACAAACAGTGGTTTGCAGGACAGGGATTGCTCCATGAAGGAACACAGGTTTCTTTTTATTCTAGTGGCTCTTCACCAAGCAAGCAGAAGAAGGAAGAGAGAAAGTCTGGAAATTTATTGCTTGGAAGTTAGTGTATGCGCTGGACTTGGAAGTGATGCATTTTATTTCAACCCACATTCCATTATTCAAAATTCATTTTTTGGCACATCTAACTGTAAAAGTGGGTAAATACAGTCCAGATGTATGCTCAGAAGAGGAAGAAAAACAATCTAGTGAACAAATAGTATGCGTCTGCCATAAGATTTTCTGAAGTCGTATCTCTCATGGTTTTCTATTTAATTTCCATAAATTTAAAAACATACACATACATATGTATATATGTGTATGTATATATCTGTATATGCACGCATGTATATATGTATGTGTTATATGTAAATATGCATGTATGTGTATATCTGTATATACACATGTATATAAGTATCTGTATACACATACAGGTTTATATACAGATATACAAACATACACATATACATATTTGCATATGTACATATATACATATATGCATATAGGTATGTATACGTATCTACACACATGCATACACACGTAGATATATACATGTGTACATATATGCACATGCATGTATATGTGTGCGTATATGTATGCGTATATATAGACCATTTGTGTTTCCTCTTCTGTAAATTGTATTTTATGGCTTTTTTTTTCCATTGAGCTCTATTTTTCCATTATATTTTAGGATTTCTTATATATTTTGAATACTGTTTTTTATTACATATTTAAAGAATTATAAAAACAAATGAATAAACAACAACATCAACAATAACAATAACACAAAGAAAAATATAAGATGGGGCCATATATTTGTAAAAAACATGCTTGGCTTGTGTGCCGTACAAAAACAAGCTAAGGACTGAATTTGGCCTATATGCCAAACTCTGTGCCAATATTTATCCTAAATGTATTAAGTGTGGTTGTTTTAAAGTCCGTGTCTAAGTCTACTATCTGGATACTCTATGATTCTGTGTTTATTTTCTATCTGTAGCTTGATGTTAAATCTGATATTTTGGTCATATTATATGTCAGAATGTTTTTAATGTAAATTGCTTGAAAAACAAAACTATCATTTTATTTCAGGTAAGATACAGGTTTGTTTCTTGCATGTGGCTATAAGCAAATCATCCTGGATTAAAAGAATTTAATAGTTGAGATGATTCAGAATTGGGCTTTGGTTCCTTATAGAACAGTCTATTTCTGATTTACCCTCATGCGTAGGGTACCAATGTGTCATTCTGTATTAAAGCTCAGAAAATTTATTTGTTCTCCCTTAGACACTTAACTCCAGTGTTTGTCCCCCAGCCTGAGTCTCTCAGAATTGTTCAGCTTCTCAGTCTCTCAAGAAAATCTGGGTTATTGTCATCAGGAGATTTACCCTGAATTGTCAAAAATCAATATTGTGTTTTCAAAATCCTCCCATTTTACTGCCATGGTTGATAACCACTGATATTGACTAATCCACTATTATGTTCATAAATACATCTACTGACAAATTTATCCTTTCACTCATGACCTCTATCTTGAACACTGAATTCATCTACATAACTATTGACATAATGATGTCATTTGTATAATTTCACAAAGGTATCTTCAATATGAAAAATCTAAATATGAATTTATTCTCTTCCCCACTACACACACACACACAGAGAGACACAACATTGGTTTCTTATCCCTTTTTATTTCTACCTCAACAAATATTACCTACAACTACCAACGTTCTTATATCCAAAACATAATCATTCTTGACTACAATGCAGCAGGATGTAGTACATTCAATGCATCCCTTTCTAGTTGTTGGCTGTAAAATATATAAGACAGTGAAGTTTTTCCATTTTGTTTCAATGTGTCTAGTCTAAATCTTCTTAGTTTCAGAATTCCACAATAAGCTACTATTCATTCATTCTCCCTTTCTACCACATTTGTTATACAGCAGCTAGAAATATATGTGTGTATGTATACATATCAACATTATATGTACTAACATAAAGTATACTGCATTTGTTATACAGTAACTAGAAACATATATGTATACATACAAAAATATGTACTAATATAATGTATATACATATTAAATAATGCATATGTGTGCAGAGAAATTGATAAACACAAAAATGATATCCAATTTAAAATTCTTAAATGGTATCCCATAGCTCAAAGAATAAAACCTAAATACACTGTCCTACAAGACCTATAGTGATTTTTCGCTACTTACATCTTCAGCCTTTATTGTCACGTTTTTGCGATGTACTGTCATCCACCAGACTTTTTGCCTATTCTTCTAACAACTCAAGCTTTTTACCAGTTTAAGGATTCTTTATATGCTCTCTCTTTAACCTGGAGGACATTCCCCCTTCTCTACTCTCTTTCTGGCTAACACCAATCCATCCTTTAAGTCTCAACTGTACTTCAACTTTTCTTAAGAGGTTTTCTTTGATCCAACAATAAATGTTCTTTTTATATCCTCTCATATACACTGTGTTTTTTTCTGTCACATATTTGGTATAAAATAAAAGTAGGCATTTGTTTGTGTGTTATTTGTTTAATATCAGTCTTTGTCGCTTAAATTACAAATTTCATGAGGGCACACTGAACCTGTTACATGCCTGTTACATACAGGCTCTCAATACGCACTTGTAGACCGATTAATAGGTTAAAGAATGTAAATCAATACTACTGCTTTTCAAAACTTCCCCTTTAGAATATCATATCTAGATTAAGGAATTTTTTTTTAACTTCACCTCTGTATCACAAAACTAGCCTCAAAACCAGTATCAGGTTCCAAGTATTTTTCTTCATATTCTTGTTGTTTTACAGTAGCATGCTGTTCTTTTTAAAAATACTCAAGAGTCTCCTCTTCCAGGAGTACTCAAACTATATCTTTCCCGTTGTTGTTATTGCTACCACACCAAAAAGCCATCAGCAGTCCTCTTTTATCAGGGCTTTATATGTTAATATCCTCATGTAATTAAAAAATTCACAGTAACAGCAATGCTATAATGAAACCGCTACAGTATTGCATTGCTCAATATTAGGACTTTTAGAAAGAATTTGGGGGAATATCGATAAAAATAAAACAAGTATACATCTCCAGAGATCCCTGGCCCTGCAGAAGGAAGCTTAGTATCCTATCTATCGACCCCTGTTTCTTGTCTCAGGATTACATAGGAATTTAGGAAATTTGAAAAATGACAAGATATCCTAAGCATAGACATAGAGCTAAGGCAAATTTCCAAGAACAGAAAATACACATAACTTCTAAACTGGAAATGGAGCAAATTAAAAAAAAATCCACCTAATAGAAGAATTTATAATATTTGTTTTTACCAAGTTTCCTTAGATTCCAAAATCTAAACACACACTCAAATACATTTCCATAAAATGAATGGCATATTGGAAATGTCTGAACATCTCATGGACATGTAATATCAAAGCTACTTTACAGCTGGACTTCACAAAAATCAGACTCAGAAAGTTTGGAGCTAGAGTTACCTCTGTAACTCTGAGTGACTACACCATCTCTCATTTCTCTTTCCCTTTGTGAGTCTTCATCCTCTGCTCATTTCTCTCCCTATCAGCACTCTACTTGCAGTTCTTGCTCTTCTGTTTATTCCAGTCCCTTGTGAATCTGCAATGCACTCACAACAACTCAAATCCAAACTCTACATTATCATTCTGCTTGAATACTTAACAAAGGTCAGCTGGAGTCTCTGTATGCAGTTCACATTTTCAAAAGGGAAAAACTAATTGGTTCTTAACTAGAAGAATTATGGCTCAGCCCTAAGCTAGATGTTATATTTGATACATCAGTCTAGCCTGAGGGATGGGGAGCCCTGGGAAGGAAAGTAACACTATGGCACTATGCCAGAGGTGATAGGCACTTTTGCAGCCATATGCCTACAGCAAGCAAAGCTAACGTTCAGAATGAAAGAGACTAGGATATAGTATCAGCTCTGTGATTCTGGATTCTAGGTCAAGCTAACAGTGGTCTCTCTTCGCCCATACCAAGTGGGTCAAGTTTACAAACAGTTGGCCCTTATCCTTAGTTACATTAGCGAATACTTTTTTGCTTGAACAGCTGGCATGCTTTGTTTTGTTTTCAATTGAATACCTGTGGTTGTGGCATACACTGTCCAATATTCTTCAAGCCCTATCAGCCCCACTAGGAGGTTGCTGTTATTTAACTGGTTCTAGGAGTTACTGAAATGTACAACCCTAATGTTAGAAAATTTAAGTGAAAGTCTATAATATGTATGATATTTGCCAAAAGAATTGTTCTAAAGCAGTTGAAACACTTGATGTATTGAAGTATCCTTATTACTAAGAAGAAAGGATTCTTCTTCTTAACATATAATGTAAACTGAATCTTGTGATGGACAGCTTTAATACACTCTCTTATTTAAGAATCACAGAAACTCTTAAGATATTTATTATCTGCATTTTGAGATTAGGAATATCAATTCTAGGCTTGAGGCCAATTTCTCCTGCTCACTATCCATATTTCCTTGAAAAGTTATTGAAACTGCATTAGTCTCAATAACTTCATCTGCGAAATAGTAGTGATAGTATCTATATTACAGGTTTAATGTTAGGATTAAATAAAAGTATTTAAAATTACTTACCTATAATATATACATAAGTATTCTCTTGTCTTTTGCTTAATATTAGACAATAAAAGTTTAACCATTTAGTGAATCATCAATCATCATCTCTACTCTTGGGCTGCCCCTAGTTATCACTTTAGTTAGGAAATACTTTTGTAATTTTTAAATTTATGTCTATATACTTAGTACCAGTGATATATATTTGAGTTATTAATTGTATCAACCTTCCTGCTAATATTGAAGGAACTATTTAAAGAGTAGTAAAGTCAATTAAAATCTTTTGAGTAAAGAGGCTTCAAGTCTTAATAATTGTTATTGTTTAATATTTTATCATTTATAATGGTTGGCACTGTTTTCTGTAAATGTACCATTACCTCTAACATTATAACATTTGTGGCAACTGTGATTTTGTGATATAATAAGAAATACGTATTTGGTCTTTTCCCCTAGTTTTGGCATAGGGCTTCTAAAACCCTTGGGATTTTCTGAGAGATACGGATGAGGGAATATCTTTCCTTACTCATTGTAAATCCTTTCAACCATACCGGAGTTTATGCTAATGAGGGGACTCTTGGGTACCCTCCAAAAAGCTTCAGCATGGAGACTGGTTACCAGAAAAACTAGTGTGTGACCAGACAGTTGGAACTTTCAGGTTCACATCCAGACTTCTGAGGAAGGGAGAGAGGCTGGAGATGAACCTTCAGTGGCCAATAATGCAGTCAGTCATGCCTACCTAATGAAACCTCCACAAAAACCCCTAGCCAACAGGGTTCAGTGAGTTTCTAGGTTGGTGAAAATATCCATATGCCAGAAGGGTGGGGCACGCCAACCCCACGAAGACAGAAGTTCCTGTGCTTTGAACTCTTCTGGACCTTGTTCTATGTACCTCTTCATCTGGCTTTTCATTTGTGTCCTCTATTATAAACGGGTGACAGTAAGTGCATTATTTTCTGAGATCTGTGAGCCATTCTAGCAAATTTTCAAACCTGAAGTGGGGCTTGTGGGGACTTCAACTTTGTAGCGAAGTCAGACAGAAATGTGTATATCCTCTGTACCCAATACTTGGGGCTGGCGTGTGGAGTGAGGAATGTCTAGTGGGTCTGAACCTGTGGAGTCTGATGCTAACTCTGGGTAGTGTTAGAGTTAAATTGAACTGTAGGACAACCAGATGGTGTCCAGAGAGTTGGAGAATTGGTTGCTAGTATAGGCAAAACCCCCCACACATTTAGTATTAGAATTGTTATGAGTGAAGGCGGGACACTGTGGCTCATGCCTGTAATCCCAGGGTTTTGGGAGGCTGAGGTGAGTGGATCACTTGAGGTCAGGAGTTTGAGAGCAGCCTGGCCTGATGAAACCCTGTCTTTACTAAAAATACAAATATTAGCTGGGCGTGGTGGCACACGCCCTAGTCCCAGCTACTCAGGAGCCTGAGGCAAGAGAATGAGCTTGAACCCAGGAAGCAGAGGTTGTACTGAGCTGAGATCATGCTACTGCACTCTAGCCTGGGTGACAGAGCGAGACTCCGTCTCAAAAAAAAAAAAAAAAAAAAAAAAGAATTATTGTGAGTGAAAACAGTTCAGACACCCTAACTGAATTATTCTGACGTTGATCCAGGGTAATCCATGCATATTTAAAATGTCATTGTCAAATCATTCTGATGGAGCAGAAAACATATCAATTCATTTCATATTATGACACATGTAAATCTGATTACTAGAAGCCTTGTGTCTTAGTCAGTGATTTATTTTCTTTAGAGTGTTTCATCTTCTCTGGGAAGTTCATTGTGATTTATCTTTGTGTGGAAAACAGATTCTTGCTTCATGTTTTGCTACGGCCTTCAGATTTTATTCCCTCCTAATGACCTCTTCTAAAGAATTTATTCACTCATGTATTTGACATAGTGACATAGTGAGAGATTTCGTTCCTTTGGGAAACTATGGTTTTCTTGATGTGGGGCACAAAGTGTTTGGGGAGCGTCAGGAAAAGATAATGCTGAGGCAGTCAAGGTCAAATGGCCCATGAATAGGTCTCAAATACTGTATTTACATTTTATTCTTAAAGTGATGGAAGAATGTTAAAGGAACTTGAGTAGTTTAGTGGACTTTTTGCACATTGCATATTTCCTAAGTGCCTATCACATAGCCATCCTTTGAAAAGATTATCTGATCACAATGTAAAAGATAGAGTTAAGAAAGGTAAGATTTGGGGCTACTGCATTAACTCTAGTGGGCTTTGGTTAAGACTTGAAATAAGACTATAGCAGTTTCGTAGTCTGCTACTGCTGCAACAACAAAATGTTTTAAACTGAGTCACTTATGAATAATATAATTTATTTCCCACAGCTCTGGAGGCTGTAAAGTCCAAGGTTAAGGCACCAGCAGAGTTGGTGTCTGGTGGGGACTTGCCCTTACTTCTAGATGGCACCCTATTGCTGCTTTCTCACATGACAGAAGGATGGAAGAGCAAAAGGTATGGAGGCTATCTCCTCATATGGCAGAACTGATGAAAGAGCGAAGCAGCTCTTTGAAGTGTCTTATATAAGGGCATTAATCCCATTCATGAGTGTGAAGCCCTGGTGATTTACTCACTACCTAATAGGTTTCATGTCTTAGTACCATCACAATGGGAATTAAGTTTCAACATGAATTTTTGAAGACTACAAATATTCAAACCATACCACTGAAGGATACCAATAAAGGGAAGGGTTTAGAGATAGTTAAAGAAAGAGAAGGGAAGAGGCTTAAAGTCAGATTCTTGCCATAGCATTAATGGGAAAAATAAAGCATTTTGCAATTAGGGCCAGACATGACAGAGGATAATCTCAGATTTACGAATTAAGCAGTTTTGTCATTGTATTCTTCATTTTTTTTTGTTCTCTGGCTTGATTCCTGTTTCTTATTTTCAAAAGCATCTTAATTTATGTAGTAAAACGTATTATACATCAGAATTACATATCAAACATTTTTGGAATATAAATACCTGGAAAAAGTTAAAAGCCTGTATAAACGAATTTAAGTCAAAATAAAGATTATAACATCACAGCCTTTCCAGAATGTATGCTGATATGGGGGAAGGATAGATTGGCATTAAAAGCTTAGAGAGTAGGAATACTGGATACTCATCCCCAAAGGAAAAAAGCAGAAAGGAAGGAAAAAGGAAAAGCAAGTAACAATGTCTCAATGGCCCTTATATCAGCCTTAAGTAAAGAAAAATATTAGTCCACCACATGGTAAAAGTGAAGTTAGGTTAGGGATTATGATGAAAGCTTTTGGTTGATTCTTTTTTTTCCCTAACCTGCTATTATGCTCCCAAATCCCTATTCAAAATAGAGTTCATTGTGGTAAAGTATTATTTTTCAAGACTCTATGTAACTAAAATATTCGCACAGTCACAACTATATTTACATTTTAATAATCTTACCTTTCCTAGTACAATGTTCCATATACCTAGTTCTAAGTCCATCTTTTAGATATGGCAACTAGGTAATCAGCTTGGTCCCTACTCTTGCTTTGGGGAATGAGGCAAATATAGGGTAATACAAATTTAGAGGCCTCAGGTAGTACTGATCCTAGTGTTTCAAGGAACGAGAAGGAGGCTTCTGTGGCTACAGCATAGAAAACAGAAGACATTTCGGTATAAGAAGAGACCAAATGTTGACAGGCACCAGATAATATAGCACATGGTAGGGAATTTAGATTTTTTTTTTACTTGCAAAATAAAGCCATTGAAGCTTTATAAGGAGGGAAGAAAGATAATTTGATTAACAATATTTTAATCGGGCTGCTGTCTGAAGATTAGAGAGATAAATTAAGGAAAGGTGATCAAAGGGGAAATTGGTTAAATTTCAAGAAAAAATAATGATAGTTTTCACTAGAGTGGTTGTGGTACAGATGGAGAAAATTGGGGGAAGCTGAAATATGTGCTGAAGTTAGAGTCCACAAGATTTTCCAGTGATTTGAGTGTGTAAATTATGGGAAAAGAAGAAACAGAGAACAGCTTCTGTTGTCACTGATAGCTTTGAAAACAACAGTTTTAGGGAATCGGTAGAGACAGAAGCCCAGAAAAAGTAGGTTGAGGAGGCAAATGGAGATTGGGAAATAGAGACACTGAATAGAGAAAATACTGTGAGGAGTTTTACAGCAAAAATAATGAGATGTGATGGCTGCTGGAAAAAATAGGGGGTCAGGTCCTGAGATAAGTTTTGAGGGGTTGCTTTTGTTTCTGTTAATTTCAGGTCTACTGTTTGAATAATCATGGAAGTAATCCAGTAAAGGCAATGTTAACTGATGATGCTGGGAAAATATGGAGGAATTTTAAGCTAGGACGGAAGGAATTCTTCAAAAAAATTTTTTTAAAGTTTGTGTTTATCTTAGTTTATTTTGTGTTGCTATGAAGGTATACCTGAGGTGGGGAAATTTATAAAGAAAAGAGCTCTATTTAACTCATGTTTCTACAGGATTGTAGTAGAAGCATGGCACTGGCATCTGCTTGGCTTCTGGTGAAGGATTTTGTGCTGCATCAAGACATGACAAAGGTCAAAGAGGAAATGGACATGTGCGAAGAGAGAACAAAACGGAGGGGTGTCTTGGCTTCATAACAATCTATCCTCTAGGGTACTAACCCCTATCTGAAAGAACTAATCCTGTTTCGCCAGAGTAAGAACTCATTTACTACCATGAGAATAGAACCAAGCTAATCATGAGGGATCTACCACCATAACCAAAGCACCTCCCATTAGGCTCTACCTCTCAACACACCATATTGGCTATCAAATTTCAACACGAAATTTAGTAGGGACAAACAAATGTTATCTAAACCACAGCAGTCCTTGAATGTTAAAAATTTTACTTGAAGAAGTTTTATAAGGTTTCAAAGAAAATCATTGTATATATGTAAATTCTCTTGTGATGAATTTAATCTTGCTCTCTAAAATTACTAAGAGAGCAAGTTGGAAAGCTATTTGTAAAACAAATCTTTCCATTCCCTCTTATGTACGTCATTATTTTTATTTATTTTTAATCTTTATCATTCTAGAAGTGTTTTGACACAGACCACTATATTCTCCACCTATTCTTTTCACTATTTCTTATTTTAGAGTTTGCATGTTTAGCTACAAAGTTATTGGTCAATCATTTTATGCTATCAGCAAAACAACAACAACAAAAAAAACTGACGCAAAATGCATCATTACAGGTCTAGGTTTGATCATTCTCTTTTTGGCTACTAGAGTTTCAAAAGAGAACTGATCCAGCATACCTGAGGATAGTAACTCTGCAGGGAGTAGTCCTGGTCCAGACCGAGACACAGTTGAAGAAATCATAGTATTTGCATGTAATAATTTGGTGTTCTTTATAGTAGATAATCACAGTGTTTGAGTACGGTTAAACTGAATTCATTGCTATTGCTTTAGGCAGCAATAGAGAATTGCCTGAGGGGTCATTTGCAGCTGGTTTCAAGAGCAGTGTGAACTCAAAATGCTTTCTATTTCCATAAACAGAACTTGAAAGTCTCAATAGTGGGATACAGTTGTTGTGTTAAAACATAAATGATAAATGTTCTCTGGGTTACACATCTTCATCATTAGCCAGTGTAAATTTCTCCTGGGTGTGTTTATGGTGTAACTCTTTGATGCATGTATTTGTGGTAAAACAGGGTCATAGCTACTGCTGCTGCATAGAGGTACGCACTATACATTTAAAGTGTGCTTGCCTTAAATTTATAATTCTATATACTTCGTGACTCTAAGACAGTTTTAGCTTTTAAATCCAAACTCCAGATCTATGTATTTAACCTGAGTGTTTAATTAGAAGTTTTACTTGACCTGTTAATTTCACTGTGTTTGATACTAGATGGATGAAACACAAGGTGCTACAAAAGAGCTCTTTTATTTGAATTGAAGTATGTGCTTGTGGCATGGGGATCTCGAAACTAATAACCTGATCTCTCTTTTGGCTGTAAATCAAAACCAAAAATGTATCCTCCTTTTTTGAACAGCGTTACTAATAATGTAAAACGTAATTTATAAAAACAACAAAAAACACAAATGACAGGATTTAACATATGTTCTAAATGTGAAGCCTATCAGATATTTTAGCTTCATTAGCTATGGCCCTAGATTGCCGATGACCTTAGATACAATTGCAAGGTAGTGAAAACACTTTTAATCATATTTCCTTCTGCAGTAGTGATTTAATCTCTAGAAACATCTTTCCAAGTGGTAATTTCATTGGTGCAAATATTTACTCGTCTGTAAAGCAATCATTAATCACTAAAAATGCATACAAAGACATACCTTCTCTATAAATTTCATGGATTACAGCCAATTAAGGGTTAAGGTTTTGGCAGACTAATATACTATTATTTGTGTTACTTGGACACTATCTGAAGATGACTTTTGACAAATACATAAAAAGATGGTTAAAGTATTTTCTTTATAAATAACTGGAGGAGTCTAGATCTAGCCTCTAGTCAAAAAACCACTGTATTATAAAGAAGCATCCATGGAAAAACATTTTGGGGGACAGTAAAATGGCCTGGATTTATTTATCAATTTACTCAGTCAGAATACTACGATTGCTTTAGTGCCTTTTATGCATTAAGCACACTTCTAGGCATGGAGGATACAGTAGTAAACAGGACAGACAACTTCTTGGCTATCTAGGAGCTTACATCCTAATGAGAAGATAGACAATAAGCAGTATATTCTGTCAAACAGAGCTATGTGCTAACCTAAAGCACAGTGCAGGGCATAAAGGACTGTGGGATGAAGGGCGTTGCTATTTTATAAGATTGATTAGGAAAGACTTTACTGATACAGGATGGAAAAATCCCTGCAGCTATTTTGAGAAAATCGATTTAGACAGAAGCAAAATCAAGTACAAAGGCACTAAATTTTGATATATTTAAAAAATGCAAAGGCCAGTATGGCTAGACTGGAGAGGAAAAAGAATATAAAGCTATTGTGTTGTAACAATAAAAGAGCATTAAGTGAGAAAGACACTGAGGCCTGATCACCTAGATTTCACAGGTGATCGTAAGTATTCTGGCTCTTATTCTAAGTAAAATAATTAGCTCTTGGATAGTTTGAGACAGAATAATACAATCTGACTTGTTTTACAAAACAGTCCCTCTTGTTGCTATGTCAAAAATAAATGTATCAGAAGCAAAGAATGGAGACTGAGAAAGCAGTTAAGAGATGATAAAGAGATTGGATTTTTATATCTACTGAGGATTGAGCTAATATATTTAGAAATGGATGTACATAATATATAAGCAAAAGGAGAAAGAAAGGTAACATAGATTTTATTCTACATAGGTAGACAAACTGAGTTGCCATTTTTGGATATGGGAAGTAAGAAGAGTAGGGGGTTGTAAAGGAAAACGAAATGTGTTTGTTTCTGGATGTGTTATTTCCTTCTCACGTGGCTAATAAAGACATACCTGAGACTGGGTAATGTATAAAGGAAAGACAGTTAACTGAGTCACAATTCAGCATGGCTGGGGAGGCCTTAGGAAACTTACAATCCTGATGGAAGGTGAAGCAAACATGCCCTTGATGTGATGACCAGAAGGAGAAGTGCCAAGCAAAAGTGGGAAAAGCCCCTTATAAAACCACTAGATTTTCTGAGAACTCAGTCACTATGATGAGAATAACAGCATGGGGGTAACCACCCCCATGATTCAATTACCTCCCACTGGGTCCCTCTCATGACATGTGGGGATTTGGGGAACTACAATTCAAGATGACATTTGGGTGAGGACACAGCCAAGTCACATCACTGGACATGCTGAATCTGAGATACTTATTAGACATTTAAATAAATATGTCACGTAGGCAATTGTAAATATGAGCATTGCATTCCAAGAAGGGTTCCAAGCATACCAAGCAGATCGTAGATATAAATTTGGGAATTATGAGCATATAGGAAATACACATAGTACTTAACGCTTAAAAACTAGAAGATATTATTGTGGGGCTGAGCTTTATAGAGAAGCTGAGAATTTACCCTGGAGGCACTTAGACTTTTAGAAGTAGAAGAGATAGGCCAGGCATGGTGGCTCACACCCCAGCACTTTGGGAGGCCGAGGCGGGTGGATCACGAGATCAGGAGTTCAAGACCAGCCTGGCCAACATGGTGAAACCCCGTCTCTACTAAAAATACAAAAATTAGCCAGGCATGGTGGCAGGTGCCTATAATCCCAGCTACTCAGGAGGCTGAGGCAGAGAATTGCTTGAACCCGGGAGGCAGAGGTTGCAGTGAGCCAAGATCTCGCCACTGCACTCCAGCCTGGGTGACAGAGTGAGATTCCGTTTAAAAAAAAAAAAAAAAGTAGCAGAGGTAGTTAATATTTTTCCGGCTTTGAGATATAATTAACACAAAAATATATACTTTAGATTCTTTGTAATGTTTTGATATATGGATACGTTGTGAAATAATTACCACAATAAAACTAATACATCCAACACTTCATATAGTTATCTTTTCTGTGTGTAAGATCCACTCTCTTAGCAAATTTCAAATATAGACTGAAAATATTATTAAGTACAGTCAATATGCTGTATATTAGGCCTCCAGAACTTATTTATCCTACATAACTGAAACTTTGTAACCTTTGGCCAACATTTCCCCATTTCTCCAGCCCTCCCTACACCTGGACAACACCATTCTACTGTTTTTATAGGTTCAGTTGTTTTTGATTCCACATATAAGGGAGATCATATAATGTATTTGTCTTTCTGTGTCTAGCTTATTTCACTTTTGCTCTATTTCACGCTTATCCATGTTTTAGTAAATGGCAAGGTTCCCTTCTTTATTAAGGATAAATAATATTCTATTAGATAAATAGATACATATAAAGATACCTCATTTTCTTTATTCAGTTATCTGCCAATGAAGACAGGTTTTTTTCTACATCTTGGCTATTATGAACAGTGCTGCAATAAACTTGGGTGCAGATATTTCTTCAACATACTGATTTCATTTCATTTGGATATATACCCAGAAGTAAAATTGCTGGATCATATGGTAGTTATACATTTAATTGCCTTAGGAACCTTCATACTGTGTTCAATTATGGCTATGTTATTTTGTATTCTAATCAACTGTGTACAATGATTCCCCTTTCTTCACATCCTCATCAATACTTGTAATCTTTTGTCATTTTGGTAATAGCTATTCTAGCGGGTGTGGGATGATACCTGATTGTGATTTTTACTTGCAGTTTTCTGATGCTTGGTAATGATTAGTTCCTTCTCGTATACTTCTTGGCCATTTGCTTGTCTTCTTTGTATTCAGGTCTTTGCCCATTTGTTAATATAGTTATTTTGGTTTTCTATTAAGTTGTTTCAGTTTTTTTTTTTTAAGATGGAGTCTCACTCTGTTGCCCAGGCCACAGTGCAGTGACATGACCTTGGCTCACTGCAACCTCCGTCTCCTGGATTCAAGCAATTCTCCTACCTCAGTCTCCTGAGTAGCTGGGACTACAGGCACCCACCAACATGCCCAGCTAATTTTTCCATTTTTAGTAGAGAAAGGGTTTTACCACATTGGCCAGGCTGGTCTTAAACTCCTGACCTCAGGTGTTTCACCCACCTTGGCCTCCCAAAGTGCTGCGATTACAGGCGTGAGCCACCACGCCTGGCCTGTTTCAGTTTTTTGTGTATTGTGGGCACTAATCACTCGTCAGATGTATGATATGCAGATATTTTCTCTTTTAGTTTGACTCTTTACTCTGTTGATTGTTTCCTTTGCTGTAGAGAATTTTTTAGCTCCATGTAATCCTACTTATCTATTTCTGCTAATCTTGCCCATGCTTTTGGAGTCATATCCAAAAAATCATTGCTGAGACCCATGCCATGAAATTGTCTGTTTTTTCCTAGCAGTTTTAAAGCTTCAAATTTCATGCCATAGTTTCAATTCATTTTGAGTTGATTTTCGTATACAGTGTGAGATAAGGGTCCAAGTGAGCTGTGATGCCTTGAGAGAAGGGCAATGCAAGTAAAGTGAAACTGTCTGCTTCCCCTCTTTTAAATACATCTATTCTCAAATTTTCTACTCCAATAAGGTGCTGAGATCTCCCTGGTGGACTCCTAGCCTCCCATAAGGCACTCTTGTCTGTGTTTTTTGTCAAAATTGGTGTTTATATAAGGGGATGAAATCTGAAAAATCCTATTCCACAATCCTGTTAACATTATTCTCTCTTGAGATTTTTTAAAAAGCAACTAATAAGAAGAAATGTAAAAAGTGGCTAATGAGGTGACCTAATAGTTTCAAGAATACACAAGTGATCAATCATGTCAAATCAGCTGACAGGTCAACTAAGTATTGAAAACTGATCACGGGAGATCTTGATAGGAAGGCAGTAAAAGTTTAAGAGGGATACAGAAACAGAAATCTTTACTGTTTTGGCTAGTGACCCTGGTACTTACAAACAAACTACTCTATTAATTGTTATATAAACAGTATAAAATTATTACTCAGTAATTGTACCTATAACTTATTTATTATAATTTTCACATAATACTTTATATATTATGTTTCTAGTACACAATACAGAGATTATATTTATGTCACCAAGGTAACTTTGGAACATTCATATAAATATTCCCCCCAATCCTCTCTATTCCCCCAGTTTTCTAGCTAAGATGTTACCATTGTGTAACTAACTGACATGTCATTTCTGTGAAGATTAATAAAACAGTGCATTACTCCCATACTCAGTTTTACTGTGCTTCTTTAAGGTGCAAGTTTGATCAGAACATTAGAAAATGCTCCTTTCTCCTGTGTACCCCACTGCCATGCTAGCACGTTTTGTAAAAATAATAGTGTTATAATCCACAACATAAACACTAGGTATCACTAGAACTATTTGAAACTGCTGCACTGAAGGTAACCATATCAGCAACAATGTTTGAACCAAGCACAACTCCTGACTATAACACAATGTTCCACACTAGGGTCCTTACAGAAATAATGATGTACTCATTTCCAAGCATAAACTTCACTGACCTCGGTATCTACAGTCCAATACACCATGTCCAGTTTCCAGGAAAAATTGCAAGCCATACACATAGACAAGATAAAGAAATCTTTATAACTAGACTCAGATATGATATAAATGTTATAATTATAATAAAGTAAATTTAAAACAACTGATTATAAAGTCAAAAGCCCTTATGGAAAAAATAGATAGCACGTATGTGAACAAAGGTAACTTCAGTAGAAAATTAAAATATAAGAAAGAATAGAATGGAAATTAAAATTGAAAACACAGTAACAGAAATGAAGAATGCCTTTTTCAAGCACATCAGGATACTCAGAGCCAAAGAGTGAATCAGTGATAACAGGATAGGATAAATTATCAAATTGAAATGAAAAGATACAAGAAAAAAATAAAAAGAAAGCTTTCGAAGTCTTTAACATCAGATGGTCATAGATACACATAATTCCAGATTATTTTAAATATATTTACTGGAAACCTAGAGCAATACAAATAATATGTCAAGAAAAGAGGTTAAATGGAAGCATAATAATTACCAATTAAACTAAGATAAGGCAAAATGAAAGGAAACCATAATGAAAAAATTGTGCAAATAAACTATAAAGGGGGTACATTTTAAATGTGAATCGTCTCCACAAACAGTTACAAGACAAAGATCATCAGTTTGGATACAAACAATATCCAACTATATATTATGTACATGAAACCCATTTTTAATATAAAGATACAGGAAGGTTAAAGTGAAAAGGATGCTCAAAAAAACAACATAATGAGAACATATTACTAGAGAAATAAACAAGACCTGAAGAAGTCCCCAATGGTCAAAGCTAGAACAAGTTGAAAAAAAAAGAATGTGTTATTAGATTACAACAAAAAGTGCAAAATAAATATTAATATACTTAGAAATAAATGATTAAATCAATGAATGAAAATAGATGATAGATACATAGATAGATGGATGAATGGGAGAGAGAGGACAGAGCAGCATCATAAAATTTCACATCCTATATATAGATGTTTCAACTCCTGGAAGTTTAGTTTAACCCATATTCTGTCCCAGCCTTGAGTGTGGGCTTGATTTAGTGACTTGTTTTCAATGAATAGAAGACACAAAGTGGAAAAATAGTAACTTTATACTGGAGAAACATATCAGCACAACTTTAACCAAGTGATCAATGTTAGCATCACCAGTACATCACGTTTATGTCATGTACTCCCTGATATGTTAGGATGAGAAGGGCACTTCAGTTCTACAGTTTTCTTCCCTAAAATTCATAATACCAGCCTAGCAATGAGGAAAACATCAGACAATCCCACATTAAGACTCATTTTACACATGTCTGGCCAGGATTTATAAAGTCTAGTAACAACATGAGAAACAAGGAAAGACAGAAATTGCCACAGACCAGAAGAGACTAAGGAGAAATGGTGACTAGATAAATGCGATATCCTGAATTGGATCCTGGGACAGGGAAATAAAATTTGGAAAATAACAAATGTTGGTATCAAAGATTTTTAAAATAAACTCTGGTAAGGTAAAATGGAATTGAGTGAGAGATATGTGGGTACTCTTTGTATTTGCAATATTTATATATTGCAATTCCTGGCAAATCTAAAATCATCATCAAAGAAAAGTTTATTTTTTAAAAACATAGAAGGATGAGAAAACCCATGTAGACACTAACCAAAAGAAAGATGGAGTAGCTGTATTAACATCAATCGAAGTAGATTTCAGAACATGGAAAATAATCAAGGGTAGAAAGGGACATAAAATTCTCCAAGACATAAAAATTCTATATGCACAAAAAACTAACAACAGAGCTTAATAATACATGTGGCAAAAGCTGATTGATTTGAACGGAGAAATAGACAAATCCACAATCATTTTAGCAGAAATCACCACCTTTTCTTCAAATAATCGATAAAACAAGTAGGCAGAAAATAGACATAGATGATCTAAATAAAATGATCAATAAACTTGACGTGATTAACATTTATAGTACATTTCAAACAACAGGAGAATATACATTATCCTCAAGTGCAAATGAAACATGCACAAAGATAGACCATATTTTGGGTCATAAAACAAATCTTAACAAATTTAAAGGAATACAAATAATTCAAAATATGTCTTAAAATTGCAATTGAAATAACTTCTCACATACTTGTTGATTAAACAATTTATTTCTATGTAACCCACAGGGAAAAGTATAAGTCTAAATAGAAAACTAAAAAATTTTGATCTGAGTGAAACTGAAAATACAACATATCAAACTGATGGGATGGAGTTAAATCAGTGCTTAGAGAGAAGTTTATAGCATTAAATGCTTTTAAAGACAAAAAGAAAGATCTAAAGTCAGTAACCAAATCTTCCACTTTAGATACTGAAGAGCAAATTAAATCCAATGGAAGTAAGAAGAAATACATAATAAAGGTTAGAACACAAACTAATGAAAACAACAACAAAAATAGAATCAATTAAATCAAAAGTACTCTTGTTTAAAACTCAACAAAAATTATAAACTTCCTGACAGGCTGGCCAACGGTGTGGGGGAACAAAGGGATAAATTACGAAATTAGGACCAAAAATCAGACATTACAACTAATCTCAAAGATATTAAAAATATAGTCAGAAAATATTATGGAAAACCCATATACCTACAAATTCAACCACTTAAATAAAATTCAATGCCTCAAAAGATGTAAATTATCAAAATTATAAAAAATAGAATACCCAAATAGTGAGAGAACCATGTATGTGTATGTATATATGCACACACGCATAAGGTTATAGGTATTATGTATTATATAAATCTATCTATAGATATTTATAACCTATATCAGTAATTAAATGTGTCATTAAAAACCCTCCCAAAGAAGAAAGTTCTAATTTCAGATGGTTTCACTGGCAAATCTATCAAACATTTAAGAAGGAAACAATATCAATTCTACAAAATCTCTCACAAAAAATAGAGGGAATACTTCCTCATTTTATGAAGTCAGCACTACTAGTGAGAATATAAAATACAGCCATTTTGGAAAACATTATGGTAGTATTGTAAAGTTAAATACATATAAAATACCACCCAGGTATTCTACTCTTAGCAACTACCAAAGGCAAAAAAGCATATGACTGTTCATAGGTGTTTTAATGATTAGTCTTAGCAGCATTGTTCATATTCATCTCAAATTAGGGATAACAACATTCATCAAATGGTGAATAAATAAACAAATTGGTGCACACACACACTCACACATCCCACAGGAATACTATTGACCAATAAAATAAAAAGAACAAAGTATTAATAAATGCTACAACATGGATAAATATAAAAATTAAGCTAAATACAATAATTAAAAACAACAGCACATGTATAATTCCCTTAATATGAAATTCTAGAGTGGCCATATTACTGTGACAGAAAGCAAATTAACAGCTGCCTAGGGCTAGAGTGTTGGGAAGGAATTCATTGCCAAAGGACAAGATAAAAATATGGAACTTTTTCATATAATAGATGGATGGAATGATGAAACTATTCTATCTTTGTTGTGGTGGTTGTTTCATCGCTGTGTACATTTGCCAAAATTTAGTGAGCTATAAATTTAAGTGGGTAAATTTTCTTTCATGAAAAAAACCATACATAACTGGAATAAATGAGTACATTGTTAGATACAATAATAAATATACCAAAATAACAGTTCTGCTCCACTTTGAACATTCCATATTTTCTTAATAAAAAAGAAATATAATTTCCAGAAAGTCAACATGTCCAGAAGTTCTAATTTGGGGTATAAAGACAAATAGGTCTCATTGAAATTACTTAATTATCTACCTTATACTAATATGTGAAACTTTCCTTGGGTGGTTTGTGGTTATTTCATTTGTCTAGGGAGCTTATATGAATGTGTCTTTGTAAAGACTGCAAGTACCTATGAGATTTCTCCTTCTTCTGACAACCAAATAATTTCAAGTGCAAAGACAAGAATAATTTACAGGGCAAGGATTCCTCTCCATCTCATTTTCACTTCCCTCCTCCATGACTACTAATTATCTTTCTGCAGGGTTGTATTAGGGCAACCTGTGCTTTTGTCCACATCCTTCTGTAAGTGTCCCACCTGGTGACTCTGGGAGAAAATGCTCTAAATCAATATTCTTTAAAGCAGACAAAGTAGCATGTTCCCAATCCCCATGACAAAAATCTCTGTCATGTCAGGCCAACTTCTACGAAACAAGGAATTATTCTTTGCCCCAGCTGAAGCCACATTCACAAAAACCTATTTAATGAAAGGAAAATAAAGAGGGCTTGTGGGAGTTTTCAATCCATTTCTTATTGAAGATAAGAGGTCGCTTTCATTTCCATTTCCTTAAATTACTGGCAAGCCTAGATATGTATGTTTGCAAATAACTTTTGTCCCATAATTTGTTGTTGGTGCTCAGTCTATAAAGAAGCAGGGAAGGAAGAGATGTGTATGCATTCAAAATTGAATATTCAATGTTTGCATCTCCAAAAACTATTTGGGCATTTATTATTGAAAACTTTATGTTAAAACTTAGAAAACAATTACATTTAGAAAGATATTTCCACATACTACCAGACCTGCTTTTTGTGATGATGCCAACATAATATTTAGAATATAGTAGTCACCTCTTATCTGTGGTTTTGCTTTTCTTTTAATATTTTTCAGAAGTTATTGGGGTACAGGTGGTATTTGGTTACATGAATAAATTCTTTGGTGGTGATTTTTGAGATTTTGGTGCAGCCATCACCCGAACAGTATATGCTGCACTATATTTGTAGTCTTTTATCCCTCACCCCCTCCCACCCTTCCCTCCAAGTCCCCCAAAGTCCATTGTATCCGTATAATGCGTTTGTGTTCTCATAGCTTAGCTCCCACATATCAATGAGAACATATGATGCTTGGTTTTCCATTCCTGAGTTACTTCACAGTCCAAAAATATTAAGTGGAAAATTCCAGAAATAAAAAATTCATAAGCTTTTAGTTGCATGCCATTCTGAGTAGTGTGATGAAATCTCACACCATCTCACTGTGTCCCACCAGGGTCGTGAATCATCTCTTTGTTCAACGTATCCACACTATATATGCTATCCACCCCTTATTCACGCAGTAGCCTCATGGATTATCAGGTTGACTGTTGGGGCTTCACAGTGCTTCTGTTCAAGTAACTCTTATTTTACTTAGTAATGGCCCCAAGGGATGAGAGTAGTGACACTGGCAAATCAGATATACCAAAGAGAAGCTTCAAAAAGTGAAGCTTCCTTTAAGTGAAAAGGCAAAAGTTCTCAATATAATAAGAAAAGAAGAAATCGTATGCTGATGTTGCTGAGATCTATGGTAAGAATGCATCTTCTACCCTTGAAACTGTGAAGGAGGAAAAAGAAATTCATACACAGTATATGCGGGGTTCAGTGCTATTCACATTTTAGGCCTCTACTGGGGGACTTTGAAATTATCCCTCGTGGATAAGGGGGGACTACTGTATAGTGAAGTAGAGGAGGTGAATTAGTTCATCTCCAAAAGCATTTTGTATTAATCATGTGTCCTCACTTTAACATCACTTTTAGGTGTGTTTTATAAAATGGCATTTTGTTTCTTCAAGAAAATATTTATTGGGCACCTTTTTATGTATTCAACAGTGTTCTAGGTACTGGTCATATAACAAAGAACAAAAGAGACACAGCACTCCACCTAAGACACCTTTTATTCTAGTGCAGATTCTTACAACTGAACACAAAATAGTCTGAGTGTGGCAGCTCATGCCTCTAATCCCAGCACTTTGGGAGGCTGAGGCAGGCAGATCACTTGAGGCCAGGAGTTAGAGACCAGCCTGGCCAACATAGCAAAACTAAGTCTCTTCTAAAAATACAAAAACATTAGCCAGGCATGGTGGCACACGCCTGTAATCCCAACTACTCAGGAGGCTGAAGCACGAGAATCTCTTGAACCCATGAAGCCAAGGTTGCAGTGAGCCGAGATCATGCCATCACACTCCAGCCTCGGTGACACGTGCCTCAAAAAATAAAATAAACACAAAACAAAGATATAGCAATAACAAGCGATAAGTTCTAGGATGTAAAAATGTGCTATGAGAGACGTTAAGTAACAAAATATAGCTTTGAGAAATATGCAGAAGATCTTGCTGAAACATTAAAGTATTGGGTTCAGTGCCATGTGTGAGAGTTACCAAAGAGAGACGGCACTGGGGGACACGGTGATGCAAGAATGACTTTAGCAGTTTGTCGGAACGCAAAGAACTCCCTAGAGCTAAAACACTGGAGCAATAAAAAAATTGGCCTAAGATGAGTTTGACAAAACAGAAGATAATGTAGGGCATTTTAAAAATGTAGTAAACTTCAGGAGGCTGAGGCAGGCAGATTACTCGAGTCCAAGAGTTTAAGATCAGTTTGAGCAACATGGCAAAACTCTGTCTCTACAAATATGTGTGTGTGTATATATATATGTATGTATGTATATATGCATACATTTTGCGTGTGTGTCTATATATAAAATATATGTATATGTACGTATGTATATAGGCATATGTACATACATACTTATATACATACATACATATACATATATTTTATATATACACACACACACGCAAAAATTAGCTGGGCATGATGGTGCTACTCAGCAGGCTGAGTCAGGAGGATCTCTTGAGCTGGGGAGGCAGAAGTTGCAGTGAATGGAGGTGGAGACTGAACCACTGCACTAAACTTGGGCAACAAAGAAAGATTCTGTCTCAACAACAACAAAAAATCAAAAGTGGGTGATGTCATACATATTTGCCACATAGGCCAAGTTTTCATTTAACTTTGCCTAATAACCTGAATACTGTCTTTTTACAGTTTGCTTGAATTAAAGCTTTTATTTGTACGTTTTGGCTTCTTCCCTCAGCCCAATTTTTTTTTGTTTTTGAAGACCTCTCATCTTTCTACTCTGACGGCCCTTTTGTCACAGTTCTTCCCCTTATCTCTGCTGGCATTAAAGTGGCTAAAGTCATTTTGGAGGTCCAACTAAGAGAAGTTGATAATGTGGACACAGTAAATTTAGGATTAGTGAAATACATCTTAACGGTTCGTAACAATTACCAATTACAGTTAGGCTGCTGCTAGCCAGCCAGTGTAGGTACAGGTTCCTCGAGAACACCTCGCTGTGCTGACTCATCTGCATCTTGAAATAAAAGGGCAGAATCAGATTTTATTGTCATATAGATGTGCCCTATGGTGCCCACCTCTGGACTTATGCAGGCAGAAGAGAAGATGCAAAGAAAGACGTGGAATAGCTGAGGTTGGAAACTATGTGGACTACACTCAGAACCAGGAAAGGCAGGTATATCTCTGATGCTTTTGTGATGGGGGTTGGGAGGGTAGTGTATAGTTGTATCGTCTTTTATCTGAAACTCAATGTTAAAATAATTAGTTGTTATCTTTCATACTAGGTGAATTCTTTTTCAAGATGATCATTTATAACACTATGTAAAGTCCAATTCCTTCATATTTTTGTATGTAGGTATCTATTTTGTTTTCTAGCACATGGTCAATTTAAACTGCCATAGGTGAAGGAAGCTCTTGATATTTCCCTTTAAACTCTTCTGTTAGGCTCAGTCACTGAAAATTTCCTGAAATCGTGGTTTGTACTACTGATGATGCCTTTATATGTTATTATCCCTGTTATCTACATTTCTCTCATCAAGCACTCTCCATCGTCCCTCTCTACATCAGCCTTCTTCAAATATGTATTCAATTTCCTTTTCTAAGCACTGGTCCTAGAACCACGTCATTTAAAGATTTCATTGAGTTGGAACTCAAAAGCCAGAGTGATTCTACGTTAGCATTTATGTAGGGACATGATAGTGATAACTCAGGTACTATAAGAAATGGTACCAGGCTTTCCATACATTGGTCATACATTGCTCTCCAAACCTCTGGTGACTCAATGCAGGAACAGAAAAGGCAGTGGGTGTGCCTTACTTTGCCTTTATGGTATACAGCTGGAATGTTTATAAACCCTGTCCTCTTCTGAACATCATGAAAGAGCAGTTTCCAGAAAAGAAAACGTACTGTAATTCATTTTGTAAAGTGAATAACTCTTTTTTAAATCACCTAACCACCCACCCATTTTTCTTGCCTGTATATTTCAAAGCTCTGCATTTCGTCTCCTGCTGCCTTCCCAGAAGCCGCATTTCCAATCTTATCACTTCTCTTTTCAGCAACTATAATTCCTTTTTGTCTTTTTTCTTTCTTTCCAATTAAAATTTCTTCTTATAAATCTCTTGAAGGTGGTGCACTTATTCCACTTCTACTGTTACTTTCCTTGGCCAAAGTATCAGTCTCTTCCCTGAAATTCTAAAATGATATCTTAGCTAGTTTTTCTTCAGTCACCTTTTTCCCCTTCCTACTTCTCCACCTTACTATTTCCCCAAGTGCAGTCTGAGCGGTTGTTACAAATACAGATTGACCTCAAGCTCCTGTTTAAAGGACTTTTCATTTAGAGTAAAGGTAAAATCCCTGATCTTACCATTTCATCTCAAGCCATCCTTTCTCTCATTCTCTGAACTCCCTGACACTGGATCTTTTCCATTCCCTGAACAAACTCTCCCCTCCACTTAATTTGCCTAACTGCCTCCCTTTCATACATCAGTGCTTAGTTTAATTGTTCTATGTTCAAAGAAGCCTTAAATGATGAACCAGATTGGGTTAGATACTCCATTATTTCATAAACCCTTACATTTTTTTCCTAACAACTTCAATTCCTACATTTTATGTTGTACTATTGTTGTTAAGTAATAAATTATGAAATTAGTTGTATAATCTCTACCACAACGGCTAAAAGCTATAAGGGAGCAGGCATTTATCTGTTTTAATATTAAAGCCCAATGCTTTACAGTTCCTTGCACACACAGTAAGAGTTTTGTAAGTCTTTGTTGACTAAAAAAAAGAAAAAGAAAAAAAAGAAAATGAATGAATTATGAAGGAATTATATTATTCTAGAATTGAAGGCTTTCAATGATATCCTTCTCAAAATTCTCTTGTATCTTGACTTTTAGGGAACTATATTTTCCTGATTTTGCTTCCACATGTTCATTTCTCTTCACTTCTTTAAAATACTTCTTTTCTTCATTTATACTTTCCAACTGAGAACATTTTTTAAAGATTAGCACTTGCTCCTCCTCATCACATTCAATTTATCCCCTGTTGGAGAATCCCTCCATTTTCAATGTTTTGCCCATCATCGCATTTCTTTGGAAAAACAATAGTACTAGTCTATGGCTCTACCACTCATTTAATGCTTGAATCTTCTTCACAGCATCCAAACGAGTGGCCATTAAGATACCTTTAGATTGGAATTCCCTCACTTTGAAGAAACCAAACACAATTTCAGGTAATTTAAACAGTTAATAAGTTTTTAATAGTGTTACATTTTATCTCATTGTAGTATTTACACATGTATCTTCTTAACATCTGAATATAATTCTCGTGATCCTTGAGTTTTTCTTCTTTAAACCAGTCCTCATGTGCTACAGTTTTATATTTTCAAACTACCTTGTTAATTGGGTTTTGAATAGAAGTAGTTTTGTCTCTTTCCCTTCTAAAATAGAGTGACCATTATGGAATGTAATATTCCAGTTCTGATATGTCCAGTTATATTTCTGCAACCTAAATTTGCACTACCAATTTCATTCATCACAGTCAAGAAAGCATCACTAATGAGTATCTCAAACGATAATGTGTTCTTTTATTGTACACTCACTTGGTCACATTTTTATTAAGAACTCTGCCAGTTCTTCCATATGCATATTGAATTGTCATGAACGCAATAGGTTCTAAGCCTAATATATTCTTTTTCAAGCATGTTTCATCGTAATTTCATTCTTAACCTCATGTAATGTGATCACAGTTAAGATATGGTTACTCAGCAAAATTTGATCACTATTGAATATGGCAAAATATTACATGGCAAATACATACAATGAATTGTTCTGCTCTTTCATTAGTTCCGTGACCCATTCTTATTCTTGGCCTTTCTCTACCCTTTGATAGAGATTTCCTCCTCATTTATTTTATTTTATACTCACAAAATATTTCACATTATGCTGACCTACAGACATTTCAATATAGCATTTCTATTTTTTCACTGTAAGTTTTACCAAATATTTCCAAGTTATACACATAAACCAGCAACACACAATAACAACCACAGAACAACCTTTGCTGCAACCTTTCAGAAAGATAATAAAATAATTTGAAGAAATGATATACACATAAATTATAAGACACATTAAGCAAGTACTCGAAACTGTGGTCTCATCTCTATGAAACTACAGCTATGCAAAATTACTTAACAATATAGAGTTTAGAGCCATACTTTCCAAGATTAAATAGCAGCTCAGGATGTTCTCATGCAGTATTTGTATATAGATTACAAGCGTTAATGTATGTAAATTATTATATTATGTGTCCCAGAGTATTCAGTTATTACCTCAGCAGCTAGGATACTGCCAGGCATAAGGAGGATATGCAATATTATCGAATGAATAAGTCAAAGAGTAAGAAGAATCATTTTTTTTCATAAAGCCTTCTTAAAGAAAACAGGTCTTGCTTGTTCGCTATTCCTTTATTATTTGTCATACTGAAAAGTAAACTCTCTTGAAAGTGTATTATAGATGTTATATAAAGAAAACATCAAATATCTAATTTTACGATATCAAACATCCTGTGTAGAATAAAATCATTCTTATGTTTTTAAAAATGCCTTGCCAGGCCGGGCGCGGTGGCTCACGCCTGTAATCCCAGCACTTTGGGAGGCCGAGGTGGGTGGATCACAAGGTCAGGAGATTGAGACCATCCTGGCTAACACGGTGAAACCCTGTCTCTACTAAAAATGCAAAAAAATTAGCCGGGCGTGGTGGCAGGCGCCTGTAGTCCCAGCTACTCGGGAGGCTGAGGCAGGAGAATGGCGGGAACCAGGGAGGCGGAGCTTGCAGTGAGCTGAGATCGCGCCACTGCACTCCAGCTTGGGCGACAAAGCGATGCTACATCTCAAAAAAAAAAAAAAAATGCCTTTCCAAATTTTACTCAGTTAATTAAACCAATTCTACTTTCAATATCATCAAGTGATCCCACAGTTCCTTTTGCTTTTAAGTCTTTCGGCAATTGATATTTCAATCAGCCCTACTTCACAAATCGAACCGTAACTTTATTCTACATTATTAATGCTAAAAGTGTACCAAGGGGAAATGAATAAAGACGTTATACAGTAGAAGTGAATATTGTTTAGGTGGCTGTTTATAAGTACATCTGGTGTACAGACTAAATCCTAAACCCTGAAGCACCATGATAAAAATGGAAATTCTTGGACAAAAAAGTTTGTTTTTCTATACCTCCATCCAAAATCTGTTTCCAGACAGAATATTTTATAGGCCATTCTTCTAACATCTCTAAAATTTCACTTTTTATAGGTAAAATATTACCCACTTTTTTCCTGAGCATTTTGCAGACTTTACATACATTAAAGTTCTTAATAAAAGACTACCTTGAGATCTTAAAATAATCATTGTGATATTATTACTTCCCATAGGTAAAAGTATTAAAATATATGGTATATTATTCTTATATTAACATAAATATTAATTTTAAGTATATCCATTATTTTAACATGCTAGGCACCAGGGGCTATAAATAATTTATCTATCGTATCTTGTGAATACAAATATTTTAAATCCTTTGAAATAACGACCAATATAATTAGTGTAGCTGTAAGATTTTTTGTTCAATCTTAACAGTATTTAAAGTGAAACTGTTCCCTATTTATAACTGTGCTAGAAAACTAACTATAAACTTGTACACTTGGTCTATTCCAGACAAAATAGAGTAATTGATCCGTAAATATGTTTGGATTAAAATATTCATACCCCAGATGGGTGCAATATTTTAGATTGTTACCAAACAGGCTTCATCCTAAATAAACAAATCTCAGGGTCACACAGAACATTAGGGGTCATCTTGGCCAGCTTCCCATTAGGATGTTTGAATATACTCAATAGCATTTTCTGAAGTCCAAATTTAAATGCTGTTGGTGATAAGAAACTCAGTGTCTTTTCATACATTGCATTACTGGACAACTCTAATTGTTTGCAATGGTTATTTTTTCCTTAAATCTGCTTTATTCAAACACTTACCTATTTGTCCTAGATTTTCCTTCAAAATTTAATGAGACATATAAATTATTTTTTCACACAATACTCTTTCAAATATATAAAAGGTAGCTATCATGTCTGTACTGAGCCTTCTCTCTTCCCAGAAAAAAGAAATAAGCAGGTTTAAATTCTTTCCATTAGCTCCTCACCCTGACTTTTCTCCACTGGATGTGTTCCGGTGTGTCAATATTTCTATTCAAATATAGTATGCATATCACATGAATATTATTATACTCCCCAATTTTGGCTGAGAACTGATAGCCTTGCTTTGCTCTTTGATAGTCATAATGCATTGGGGATTCTGTGTTCAGTTACAGTGGGATGATACCTTGAGGCATATTTAAGGGAAATCACAATTTATTTAATCCACTACTATACTAATATGACTGCAACATGTATGTGTGTATATGCTTCTTGGTGCCTTTTCTTTAATCAATATCTCTTCACTCCATATATTTGAACAACATCTGTTAGGTTATTGAATGTTCACAGTTTAAAAATACATTTTTAAATGTTTAACCCCAATATGTTGAAAATAAATACACAGTAGCCCATGCAAAGAGAAATCAATTGAAGCCTAATGTTCTCTGAAACATAATGTCACATTGATAATCAGTATAGGAAAGAGAATTAATCACTTTGTTAATTAGGTGTTTCACTTATAGAAATGAGCAACAGTCTATTTCCACTTATCATAGAATAACATATGAATTACGTATGATCCCTAGTATGGGCTACAGGAAAACATGTAAAACAGTATGTTTTTTGAGTTATGTTTAAATTATTCCAGTGACTTGGATTTGAGTACCAACACCCAAAGAACTCTGACTTCAAAAGAGCTTGATGGTGCAGCAGATTTAGTGTGGGTGAGGTGAGTCCAGATGCAAATGTGCAGCTACAGCAGCTGTGGATTCTGTGCAGACACATTGCTGCTCTGCTTTAAAATAATCAAACTCCAAGCCTTGTGCTCATAAATTATGTCTGGAGTTCTTATACAAGGCAAAGAACTTCAAATGCAACAAGAGAAAACTGAATTGTTCTACAACATGCTCTCTTCTTCACTAGAAAATAGGTAGAATAATAATTCAGGGAATTCTGAGGATATTTAGAGCATGAGAAAAATATAAAGAAATTAATAATGGTTCGATGAAGCTCACTCAACAAAATATATTAGATCATTCTGGGTTCTCAGCTCTGCAAGATCACTAAAAGATCACATTTCATCCTTCAGAATTTACATGATATCAGTGGAATAAAAGACTATTTCCATGGAACACAACTATGCTCCTTGCATTGTTGAATACCAGAGTGAAAGCCACGGAAATTCAGCCGGGGGGAGTTTTTTAGAAAAGCTTTATGATGCTGGTGGGACAAGTCAGAGAGGATTGGGGTCAACAGTAATGAGAAAGAAGAGCCATTAAGGGTATGTCACATAATTAGGGTCCTCATAAACAAAGATGATTACACTGAAAAACTCCTGGCCAAGATGCTCTTGCCTAAGGAGAGCATCTCCCTGACTTTCTATTTAAAGCAGCAATGAGCTGCAGGCAAAACAGAGTCCAAATATTGCTACGGAAGAAAAGCTTCTGCCTTTCATAACCCTCCGTCTTCATATAAGAAAGAATATGTCTGGCAACCTTATGGGTTTGAAATTTGTTTATAGCCCTCTGTGAAAGGTTTTCACTAGCTCTGTGTTAACACATGGCAGGGGTGGGGGTGTTGTTTATTGATTGTGTCTTTGATCCAAATTTATATTTTAGCATATCTATGAGAATCTTGAATTATTTTCCTATAAATTCGTCTTTTATATCTCATACAATGGATCATTTGACACTAATGTGTTGGCCAAATGTTTGCCTTATTTACATTATTAAATTGCAAAATCTTTGATACATGAGGTCTTTTAAATTATGATAAATTAATAATAATGACAGCAACTCTGGTGGCAGTAATTTCTATTTAGCTCATTTAATTTTCACAATATCACTATACCTTCTAAGAGTCATACAAACTAAAGTCAAGAAAAGTAAATCAACTTGCTGAAAATACAGAGCTAATAATTGACATAGATGGAATATTAAAAGAAGTTGAATGATTCAGAAGGCTGTGCTTCTGTGCTGTATGATCTCATTTAATGTTGCAATATGCTTTTATGTATATATTTATTCCTTGTGTCTAATTTACAAAATGCTCAATTCTTCCTATTTCTGTTTTAGCCATGCATGTAAATATAAAATACTTATTCAATTAGCAACTGGGATAAACTTTCTTTGCTCATCCTAAAAATAAATCTAATACAATAAATACCACCTCTTTTCCAGCTTTCTTCTCATTTTGTAACTTAAATAGGAAAAAAACCCTCAAATTATTATCCTTGAAAAGGGGTTAATATTTAGGGCCTTAAAAAAAAGACTATATATTATTTTCTACTAAACTCATAATTCCTTGGTTATGTCCACCTCTAATGCTTATATACCATGGAACTAAGAGGCCACTGACCAGCTCAGAGTTCAAAGCAGAGTTTCTAAATATCGCTAGTAACACATAAGAGTCTTGAAAAGCACTTTTTTGTTTATTTCTTTAGACATTTTAAAGAGTTTCTGAAAATGTTTAATTCCCTTAATATTTCAAGAGTCCAATCTGGTAACTAAATTACAGTTTAACTTTAGGCCAGTTTGAAGAAGAGCAATTAGAGAAAATGTCAGTGTTCCTGCCACCAGCTGCAACCTTCATCACCATTGCTCTTCTGTGAGACTGCAGCTTGAAAGGGAAGGGCTTGGCAATATCTATATAAATATAGGGAAGTAAATATTAACTGAAGATAATTGTTTTTTTAGGGCACACTGTGAGGAGGCTACATATCTTTGGAAACTGAGATTGTGGATATGCACCATGATATTTGAGAAGCAATGAAATGGAAATTGCTGTGAGAGACACCGTGATAGACAGGCTTGATGCAGGAATCCTGACTCACTGTGCCATGTGACCAGCAAATAGGTTGTCCATGAGTTTCCATGAACTCTAGTGAAACGATGAGCTGATAGAAATAGTATAGAAGAGGCCTGACATGGAGTGTTACCATGTAGTGACACTACATTTAACATCTTGAGTGTTTGGATGGGACTCACTTCTGAATTTTTAGACCTGACCAGAGAGCCCTGGAGGAGGGCTCTTTGATACTACCTTGGAAAGAATCACAAAAGGGAGAGAAAATTATTGACTCAAGCAAGTTTATCAGTTTGGACTCAATTTGCTGTTGTTTTTCTCAGTTGTTCTCCAGTAACAAATGAATTGGAGGAACTGACTATAATCCTTTTAATTTTATAATCTCTATTCTTAAATCTCCTTCAGCATAGATAGATCTACCATATCTCCTTGATCAACTCACCACTCCAGTTTCCCAAATAATCCCTTCATTCCTTTTCCTCTCTCCTTATACCTGCAACGATCCTTCCCCCCTCCCACTAGTACCCAATGTTTTGCTTTTATTTTACTGCAGAGATACAAGCAATCAGAAGAGAACTCTACTTTATTTGCCTTCTAATTGGTATCATTGGTTGCATGCGTGCCTCCCCAACCCAAAGTCTACTCAGCAAATAACAATCAGATTGATGGTCCAAATATATAAATCAGATCATGTCACTTTTTAAGTGCCTTCTCACTGCATTTCAGATACAATTGAAACCTCTTTTCAAAGCTGACAAAGTCATATAAGATTTTGCCTCAGAAAACCTATACAACCTATTCTTATGTCTCTCTACCCTATCCCCCTGCCTCCCAGGAATTTTGTTTGTGTTTTTTTTTTAATTTCCCGAAATATGTTAGCTTATTTCCATGCCAGGGACATTAAACTTATTATTCCTTTCATCTGGAGTATTTTTCCTATTCATGGGACATGTAATTCATGTTACTTTTTTAGAGAATACTTCCCTGACACTAATCTAAAATAGCCCTGGCCGACATCACTCTATTTCCTAAACCCTGTTTTCTTTTCTTTTTAGCACTTGTTGATATTTTACTTATATGTTGGTAGCATTTAGAACAGTCCCTGGAACTCAGCAAGTTTTTTTCAAAAATTTAAGTTTCTAAAATATTTTTAATAAATGCATAAATCAATGAATCTTTCATAAAACCATTTATATTACGTGACAATTATCTCATTAAAGTAAAAAGTTAAAATATGATAGAGATAACGTTATTGAAGTAAAGACCTTCAATAAATATAATTTGTCAGTGTTAGTGATTATTTGTAACTGACTTAGTTGGACAGAGAGTGAACCAGGTGGGATTTCTTTTAATGAAGTGGTATCAGCCACAGCTTTGATCTGCATGTGTTCAATTACATTTTCCCTATACTATAGCCACAAAATTTAGCATGCTGCAATCACCCATATTGTAATGATTTCCTCTTGTTCACGTTTAGTTAGAACAATACTAATCTATTTCCAGTAATAGCAAACTATTCCCAATTGGCTGATCTGTAATATCACTGTATTTCTTCTGCACCAGGATTGTTTACAGGAATAAGAGAAATTACAAGGTGAAAAGTTTCACTTTACCATTGACCTATCCAATCACAAGGGCTACTTTTGAATTCCCATTTGAGCAAGGGAGAGAATTCTTCCCAAAGATAATCAGAGAGCATACCACTTGGGTCTCTACTGGTTTCAGATCAACCTACTGAATTTTGGCATACCATCTTCCTGAAGAAGTCAGGGTTGATGAAATAATATGGTGAAAGTAATAAGAAGAGAGGCATCATATAATGTTCAAAGCTAGACAGGTCTGCTGTAAGGTCACAAAAACTCAGGTGAAATTCCAGTTGGTCATCCTTTGTTCTATTTGCTGCAATGCTGGAAATTGAACTTGGCATTTAGGAGCCCTTTCGCCTTCTGAAGAATTATGGTTTGAATCCATTCTTCCAACCAAAAAATAGACAATATCTTCATTGCACATAATTCAAGTCTGAAAATAGTTTTGATGCTAAACAATTGTTTTTGAAAAGACCCTGTGTTTCAAATAACTGCAATTTAACTGTGCATTCAGGGCTCAGCAACTGCAAATAAATTGTAGCTCTGTTTTACTTTAAATGTCATTATTCAGCCCAATTTTATTCACATTCACCGCAGCTTTAACAGTCTACGTGATTCCTGTTCATGGATTAATGAGAGCTTTTTCTTTTTTCTCAAGAGAATGTTATGTTGGCTTTCTAAAGCTGCTTTTAAAAGCAAAAGGAAATAACATCTTTCAAATGCATATATGAATCCCATCATTCATAATTGTAATTTCAAAATTGCATACTAGATATGATCTAATTTCAGCCTAGCATGTATGCAGTTAATGCTGGCCAGTGATCTTTCTGGGAGTCCTGAGGTGTGGCATTAATTATGTATATTGCTTACACCTGTGAAAAATCAGCCTGCCCTTCTGGAGCTAATAACAAAATTAAATGTTAAATTCTGACTGCACCGAGAGGGTCTTTTCAGTTATGCCTGCCATCTTTTGGCTAAGAGTGTTCCATATTTAGTCTTGCTCATTTTGATGCAGATTATCATGTATTTTATGAGTTGGATTAAAACAGAATGCTTTTTTGAAATCCTACAGCTGCCAGTCTATATAGCACATTCATGAGGAGGAGGAAACTGCTGTCCTGTTATCTATGGAAAATATGACCAATTCCATTGCAATGATATCGAGAACCAGGTGATATCATTCCTCAGCCATACAGGAGGAGTAGTTGCTTGGAGGAAAGGAAGGAAGGTTCTCATGACCTGTTTTAATGTTTCCCATAAGGCTTTTTATTTTTCTTGTTGGTATTTGGGGAAGAGTATTTATTTTCTTTGAGAAGCAGTCGAGTATAGAAGTTAAGAGTTTAGTATCCGAATGTGTTTATCTTGTGTTCACATCCCACCTGCTGCTTACTAGCTGTGTAAACTTGGGAAATTCACTTGATTTCTCTGGATATTAGGAGCCTTATCTATAAGATAAGGTTGATACGAACATTAATATGTAGAGAGCAATAAATAAGCTCTAATAAGTGTTAGCCATTATTTTTATACAAGTTTCACTGAGAGATTGACACAAGTGAAGCTAATTTGTTTAAGTCAGTCATCATTTGCGGTTTATCATCTCCTCCACTATACTTCCTTCTTCCAAACAATTTATCTACTATCTCTACAGATAAAAAATCAGACCTTGCATCATCGTTGCTTCTGTGAAAAAAATATTGGTGGTCACCTGTGGAAGGGATATGAAGATTTATGGTGGTAGTCAAAAGAATGTTTTTTCTTATCTGTATGGTTCATTTTAACATACATTTCTTATATAATTAAGATTACTTGTAAAAAGCATTTATATATAAGCCTCAGTTTTTACTCTGCCTGTCTCTAAAGTAACTTGAGGTGGCTTCTTAAATAACGACACTGACAAAAAAAATCCTTGAAGAAACAAAATCTGCCTTAAAGAAGTGTAGAGATAGTAATACTTCCGAGTTTCTCAGCAGCATTACAAAAATAGAAACAACTCTAGTTTGGTGTATATACATATTTTGTAGAACAGCACTTAAAGTTCATTAACTATTATCCTGGCATAGTTTTCAAGAGAGAACAGATAGATTTTATACTTTTAACATAATCTTTAAAAATGCAGGTATATTAAACCAAGGAATATTGTTTTTAGTGATCCTCTATAAAGCTGATCAATTGAATATAATTTATAGATGCTTATAATGATATACGCGAAACTGCAACAACTTATGAACACAATTATTACCATAGCTTTTCTTTACATGAGGAAATTGAAGCATAAAGAATTTAACTAAGTTACCCAAGATCAGTTAGTAACTGCTGGAGCTGTGAAAATAAAACGGAGCACAAAAATTAGAAAGGAGGTTATGTATTCAGACTTTGCTATATGAAGGGGGTCAGCTACCATCACTTGTATTTGGCAGAGACTCAACATCAGACAGGAGAGTAGGAAAGACAACTTTACAGTGAAAAAATAGGGAAGGCTTCAGGTGTACTCTGATTGAAGGTTTTGGCATGGGGAAGCTGGAGGTATGCTAACCTGAAGCAAGACGGTCTTATGTGACTGGTTTGGGAAGCATATTTGGCTTTCTCTAGTTGGTCCTGAGTTGAAAGCTAGGGCCAAAAAGAAGGAAGCTGGCATTCATTGGCCAAATATTAACCAATCTAACGAATTGTGCTACCAATTATTACAGAGGTTTTGGTTCAGCTTCTTGGACTGGTTGCTGCAGAATATATGATTTGGTTTTCCAAGCTGTTTGCTGCAAAGGTTGTGGATCAGAGTTTAATTCCCATATATGCTCAGGCTATAAGAGCCAAAGACTTTTGTTTAGTCTCCAAGAGCCAAAAACAAAACAAAAGTTTTATGACCCTCAATTAGCCACATTCTTAAATCAGTTGTAAGCTTTGTCCTAGTGAATAAAATTAAGTAGTCTATTCCTTGTTTATTGATGATGTCTGTTAGTTCTAAAGGAAGGGTCTCAAAGCAGCATCAACATTAACTTAGAACTTGTTAGAAATGCACATTATTGGTTCTGTCTCAGACCTACTGAATCAGAGTGCTTTTGAAGCACACTATACTTTTAAAACCATAGATGTAGGTATTGAATTAATAATGAGACAAGATGATTTGCCTTTATACAAATTACATTTTGGCTTAAAAAGTTACATAAGAAATATATAGGAACAAAAACATCAGAATTGCATGACTGTTTTTTAACATGATCGCACCTCATACTCTTACCTAAAAGTTTTTCCCATCCTTTTTGAAATTATTCAACATTAGTGGGTGATAAAAACAAAAATGGAAACTACATCTGCCATTGAAGTATCCACTAATTAAGAGACTGAACAGGCTGGGCAACGTGGCTCATCCCTGTAATCCCAGCACTTTGGGAGACCGAGGTGGGCAGATCATTTGAGGTCAGGATTTCGAGAACAGCCTGACCAACATGGTGAAACCCCACCTCTACTAAAAATACAAAAAAATTAGCCATGAGTAGGGGTACACACCTGTAGTCCCAGCTACTCAGGGGGCTGACGCAGGAGAATCGCTTGAACTTAGGAGGTGGAGGTTGCAGTGAGTCGAAATCATGCCACTGTACCCTAGTCTGGGCAACAGAAGGAGACTCCATCTCAAAAAAAAAAAAAAAAAAAAGTGAGTGAAGATTTAGATTTTATAGGAAAACTTATGTCAAAAACGAAATCTCAAGAGATTAACCCAAAGAGTATTTTTACTTGACATACCCAAAGAAAAGTAAGTAGGATTGATCAAAATGGCAATTTTATATTAGTGTTTATGCCCTGGATTTTACATGATTCAAATGAATTTGAGAAGAACCTTACACTTTGATAATGTCATTGTTCCTAACAAAGAAACTTGTCTAATGCTTCACTCTTAGTCCAGATTAAGATGCAATTAATCTGAAGAGTTTTATTAATCTATTTCCTCCAACATATCCCTCAATTTATTCCAAGTTGTTGCCCTTTTATTTATTTATTTTTCTTCAGGCGGAGTCTTGCTGTTGCCCAACCTGGAATGCAATGGTGCGATCTCCGCTCACTGCAATCTCTGCCTCCCCAGTTCAAGTGATTCTCCACCTTCAGCCTGCTGGGTAGCTGGGATTACAGAAGCCTGCCACCATGGCTGGCTAATTTTTGTATTTTTAATAGAGACAGCATTTCACCATGTTGGCCAAGCTGGTCTTGAATCCTGGCCTCAAATGATCCCACCCACCTCAGCCTCCCAAAGTGCTGGGATTATGGGCATGAGCCATCACACCCAGCCTGCCCTTTCACTATTTACAGTGCTTCACAAATTTTTCACTGTTCATCTGCAATGACCCCTCAATCTCTTAAACTCCGTTGAGATAAATGAATCAAAGTGAAGTAGAATCTGGCAATTTGGGCTTTCTGAATAACTCACACAAACCATCATTATTGCAGCAGATTTAAATGGAACTAGTAACTCTTCAAACCAGTTTGACATGGAAACTGCAATAGATCTGAAGCTCTTTATGTATAATAATCAAATTTTTAATCAATGTTTCTATTTTTAGGGAAATAAGTTTTTGTAATGTATTGTGAACATGATACACATTAAAATTTTTATAAAATTTTTATAATCCTTGTTAAATAAAAACACTACACAGAGAAGTTAGGAATTTTTGCTTTCAAGTGAATGGAACGAATGGATCTATGTGGAATATGTCTCTTGAGCATATTACTAGCTTTAAATATGCTGAGAGTTTTCATTTCATGAATTCAAGGAAAGAAGATGACTACGATTGAAATTTTTAGTATTTTTGATTCAAGCAAATGATTTAAGTAGAATGAATGCTAAATCTTCACAATTGAGATTATATTTAATTAGCTGTCAGTAAATTTGAATGATAGGACTTTATAATTAAATTATGTGAGTTGTACAATCAGAAATAACTGCTACACATCTGCACTTTAAAAAAATCAAACTCTGTGGCAATATCCATACAGGATTTGTGATTTCTGAGGCCAAAATAGATCATTTAAATGTCTTCTACAATTCAATTTTTAATGGTTAAGTTTGAAAAAAAAAGTCACCTCCTAATAAATTTTGAATGACTTGAGGTAAATTTTAAGTTTCTTCTCCCAACCTTTGCCAGAATTTAAAGGGATTTGTAGACATTTTTCAAAAACAAAACAAAGAAAACAAATTTCAGGTGACCTATAGGTTAGTTTCAACAAGCCTATAATCAATTTCTTTAGACAAAAACCATATCCTATAACAAGAATTTTGCCCATGACTGTCAAATCAGGAAAACTCTCTTTCCACTTAAATTCCAGTTTAACTCCCCTAATATTAATTCCTTAGGTGCATTGTTGAAATTAACTTAAATTTCAGGAGAAATTGATCACCTATTACAGGATATTTATATAAAAACAATGACTCTTAAATGCTGGCAGCATATGAAAATGATCTGAGAACATTCTAAAAATAATGATATATTTGCTGGTCTTCATAGCCAGATATTGACTTAATTGTTCTGGATAGTGTTCTTAGAATAAGTTTTTTTGTAAAACCTCACAAGTAATTTTAATATGTAGCCAGGATCAAGAACTACTATTCTGCTGTAGTGGTTCCCAGATTTTAGCATGCATCAGCATCACTTAGAAGTCTTGTGTGTGTGTGTGTGTGTGTGTGTGTGTGTGTGTGTGTGTGTGTGTGTGTGTAAGTCTTGATAAACAGATCCTTGGGCTCCACTCCCCAGAGTTCCTGGTTCTGTAAGTCTGGATACGCTGGAAAATTGCATTTCTACTATGATGGTGAAGGTGCCAGTTCAAGATTCACAATTTGAGAACCATAGATAAGGTACACAGACAGGGATATGAACATAAAAACTAGGGTACCTCCAAGGATTTAAAGGGTAAAAACTTCTCTAATTCGGGGGTCAACAAACTCAACTGTTTTTGCAGTAAGATTTTTATTGAAACATAGTAATATCCATTCATTTATCTACTGCCTGTTTTTGCTGCTGTAAAGACAGAGTTGAGTACTTGCATAGAGACAGACCATATGTTCCATAAGACTTAAGTATTTACTATGTGGACATTAAACAAAAGTTTGCTAATCACTGCTCTAAACCATTATAAATGGTAATATAAACCAAATAGCCTACACCAAAAAACAACAATCATTATGAAACACTAAGAAAACAAAACCACTAATTATTAAGCAACAGACCTTCACAGCCAACTCTTCACTTGGCCATCTCTTTTTTTTTTTTTTTTTTTTGGGGAGACAGAGTCTAACTGTGTCACCCAGGCTAGAGTGCAGTGGCATGATCTCGGCTCACTGCAACCTCTGCTTCCTGGGTTCAAGCTATTCTCCTGTCCCAGCCTCCCAGTGCCTGTAGCCTCCCATGCCTGTAGCTGGGATTACAGGCATATGCCACCAGGCCTGGCTAATTTTTGTATTTTTAGTAAAGACAGGATTTCACTGTGTTGGTCAGGCTGGTCTCCAACTCCTGACCTCAGGCGACCCCCCCTGCCTCGGCCTCCCAAAGTGCTGGGATGACAGGCATGAGCCACTGCACCCAGCCCACTTGGCCATCTTTCAATAGATGTCTCAAAGACAGCTGAGACTTACTATGTCCCATAACAAACCTGTAGTCTTCCTCCCAACAAACTTAGTCCCAATATTTCTACAAATGGCACCAGCATCCAGTTAGTTATGCAATGCAGAATTCCAAGAATCATCCTTGTCACCTCTTATCTCCCACCATCTAGTTCCAATCTAATAAATGCAGTGAGTTTTTAGCTCCCATCTACTTTCTTCATCTGTATAATCCATATCATCAGTAGAAGTGTCCATTACCTCAATTCTGGATCACAAAAATAGCTATCTACCTAAACTTTCTGCATTCCCTCTGGCTGCTCTCCAATCCTTTCTCTGTCCTTCAATCAGTGTGAGCTTCTTACAACACAAATTCAAAATGTGAATCCTTTGTGTAAAACCCAGCAGTGGCTTTCCATGGCTCGAAAAATTTTTTTTAAATGCCAAAAAAAATTATGCCAAAATATATAAAAATTGATCTCCCCAATTAAAAGTCACAGAGTCAAGCTGAATTCAAAATAGCAAATACACGTGCTGTAAATGTGTAAATGCAGTCATGAAAAATTACACTCCCAAGATTTTCTAACACATAAGAAAATACTTGTCAGGTTAAGTGAACACTGCAGACAGCAAAATATTTGTAAAATTAAAATAAATATGACTGAAAGGAAGTAAAATATTAGAAGAAACTGCATTTGGTCTGATACATGGTACACATGGATGAAACTTGAGGATGTTATATTTTAACAAGTGGTCACAAAAAGACAAGTACAGTATTATTCCACTTATATAAGGTACCTAAATTAGTCAAACTCAGAGAAAGAAAGTAGAATGGCGTTGCCAGGGGCTGGGGGAGAGGTGAGTTTTTGTTTAATGTGTAGAGAGCTTCAGTTTTACAGGAAGAAAAGACATCTGGGGGTAGCTGTGCAACACACACTTAACTGAATCATAGACCACTTAAAAATGGTCAAGATGGTAAATTCTTTGTCATGTGTACTTCTTTACAGTTTAAAAAATAAATTGCATTTGGATGATGGAATTACTACTTCATTCATTTTTAAACATAAAATCAGTTCAGTTTCCTTTTAATGTAAGAAAAAAATTAGCTCTGTTAAAATGTTTTGAAAAGAACAAAGAGGCAGAGACAGGGACCACATCTGAACTATCTGTGTATTTAGTTATTAGACAAGGCTTTAAAAACTGTAAGAGTGCAATATATGTTTGATGAGTAAAAAATATACATAGGTAATAAATGTCTGACTATTAAGTGATTGGAAATGCAAGTAAAATTCTTGCTAGACCTGTCCCTAAGGTTGTCATTTAAAGTCTCTAATTGTAACGATCAAGGACTCTGCCCAGGTGTTTTCTTCTTATTTAAACAGTTATCCCTCCAGAAATGGCCTACATGGCAGTAATATTCTCTATTTATACTTCCTCAAAATGAAGCTTTGGAAAAGTACTGCCAGTTCTTCTGGCTTTCGAATTTCCAAACATTACTGTGACAACCAAAGAATACGTTTCAAATATAAATTTCGCAATGATGTCAAGCTGATCCTCAATAACAGGGAGATGATACACACATTTCCAGAAAATATGCCTGTTACTTTATACCTGACACCTTTTAAATTTGCCAGGAGGATCAGATCACTGTCAAAACCAAGTAAGTTATAAATGCATTGTCCTATAGTTTAGAAATTTACCTTTTGCTAAAACCCAACTGAATAACCAGTATTTAAATTTGTCTCTGAGAAATTTCTTGGCTAGAAGATTATCCTTCTTTTATTGCAAGATTACATATAAAAGAAATGGAGGCAGTTTATTTATGAAAATTAGAGTCTTAACAGGAAATTTTTTAAGCCGGAACAAAAAAGAGGCTTTAAATTATGGAATGAATTCTCATTTCACTGAGGAAGATGTTTAAAAAAATAAATATTATACACCTTAAATATGTCCTATTACCTTGCACAATATGAAGACTACGCAATTTAATTCACCAGAAACAGATAGTTACATCACTTTCTTTTCTTGCATGGGAAAACACATGGGATTTCTACTAAGCTGACTTGAAGTAGAAGTCCTAGAAGTTACTTTTCTAACACAAGGACAAGATAATCCATTGTCCATTTCAAGAACTACTATGAGGTCAGTATAGTGAAGGACCAATTCATGAGCTATGAATAAATTTAAAGGAGTCAGAATAATTAGTGATTTTGATTCATGACAGCGAGGCATCAAATATAAGAAGTATTTTGAATAGATTATTCAGGATGAATTTTTACTAATGGAGAGTTTGCATGCCAAAAAATATTTAAAATTGATAGTTGCTGTGAAGACACTGTTTAGAAGTTTTATATTCAATTTAAACTGAAGTGACCCAGTGGAGACTCAATGAGGAAGGCAGGCAGAAGGCAATAGGCAAGTATCAGAACCACCTCAGGGGTTTTTTAGAGGACTACATTAAGAGTTCAAGGAATATAAAGATTTCTTCTTCCCAGGCTATTATAGCATTCTGGGTAGTTGGTAGGACTCAAAATATGGGTCCAAAATATCTTACCCTCCCTCATTTGGTAAAAGAATTAGAGAATCACCCTGGTCTTAGATACTGTTTTAATTCATTGAGAATTTATATTGTGCTAGATACTAGAGTTATTAAGAAGATCTCTAGAAGATTACAGGCTGGTAGAAAAGGCAGATATGATAAACAACGAATCACAATATTGAATTTCGTGATTACAAAGAAGAGTGGGAAAAGACTGAACATCAAGGGAAAACTTTTGAATGCCTTCTGTGTTAGGAAATCGATTCTTTTTTTTGTTTTGTTTTGTTTTGTTTTCAGATATATTTTAGAGGCAGTTCCATTTAAAGAGAGATATTTATGACTTAAATATTTACATGTCTTTCTAAGTCCTGTTGGAAGTTTCTTAACTCTGTCTGCTCTACCACTGTTCTTTTGACTTAGAGTTGAAACAGAAGATTTCCTTATTTCCTTCCCTTCTCTAGTCCTTATGTTTAGTAACCAAGCACTTTATGGTTTTCACACATTAAACTTATTTTTTTCCATACCTACCATCACCTGTGAAAAATATTTCTAAGGTGTTAAAAACACAGTTACAGCACACTTTATTCAGACGGACTATCACAATAGGTATAGGGACTACTGCAATGAAGTTCTGCAGCGGGGGAGAGAGGTTGGCCTCCACTACAAAAATGCAACAAGGAAAAGTGGGAATTTATAGCCAAGGAGTAGGGTGGGGATGTCAGTGCAAAGAACATTACTAAGAGGAAACACCAGGGGTAAGGGAAGATTCTGGCTAAAATGACCTAACAGGATTCTTGGTGAAGGCAGACCAGAGTGATCAGATATCACCTGGGTGATGGTGGAAGATGAGAAATTTAGTGGGAAATTGAGGGTAATTATGTATCAAGGGTTGTTCTTCTGGCCTAACTGACTTAACAGGACTCTTTCCAAAATTAGGCAATGCAAAGAAGAACAGAAGTATAAAAGTTAAAGCTTAGTTGGGAAGAGGATTCAGAAGAGCCTGACTAGTTTAATGAAGGAGAAAGGCTGTTGTTAGTCCTTTCATTTGAACAAATGTGAAGTCCTTTGAACAATATAAATTCATTTCTTCTGTTCATTAAGAAGCAGCTAAATCATTTGTTGGGATTTGGTAGTTGTATTAGTCCATTTTCACACTGCTGATGAAGACATACCCAAGACTGGCAATTTACAAAAGAAAGAGGTTTCTTGAACTTACAGCTCCACGTGGCTGGGGAGGCCTCAGAATCATGGCGGAAGGCTAGGAAGAAGCAATTCACTACTTACGTGGATGGCAGCAGGTAAGAGAAGGCTTGTGCAGGAAAACTCCCATTTTTATCAGATGTCATGAGACTTATTCACTATCACAAAAACAGCAAGGGAAAGACCTGTCCCCATGATTTAACTACCTTCCGCCAGCTCCCCCCAACAACATATGCAAATTCAAGATGAGATTTGTGTGGGGTCACAGGCAAATCATATCATCTACCCCTGCCAAATCTCATCATCTACCCCTGCCAAATCTCATATCCTCACATTTCAAAACCAATCATGCCTTCCCAACAGTCCCCCAGTTGTCTTAACTCATTTCAGCATTAACTCAAAAGTCTACGGTCCAGAGTCTCATCTGAAACAAGGCAAGTCCCTTCTGCCTATGAGCCTGTAAAATCAAAAGAAATTTATTTACTTCCTAGATACAATGAGGGTACAGGTATTGGGTAAATACAGCTGTTCCAAATGGGAGCAGTTGGCCAAAACAAAGGGGCTACTGAAAATATTTTCAACAAGTGAAATGCAAGTCTGAAATCTGGCAGGGCAGTCAAATCCTAAAGCTCCAAAATGATCTCCTTAGACTCCATGTCTTACATCCAGGTCACGGTGATGCAAGAGGTGGGTTCCCATGGTCTTGGGTGGCTCCACCCCTGTGGCTTCACAACCTCCTTCCCTGCTGCCTTCACAAACTGGAGTTGAGTGTCTACGGCTTTTCCAGGTGCACGGTGCAAGCAGTCACTAGATCTACCATTCTGGTGTCTGGAGGATGTTAGCCCTCTTCTCACAGCTCCACTAAGAAGTGTTCCAGTAAGGACTCTGTGTGGGGGCTCCAACCACATTATTTCCTTTCCACACTGCCACAGCAGAGGATCTCCATGAGATCCCCACCCCAGTAGCAAACTTCTGCTTGGACTTCCAGACATTTCCAAACATCTTCTGAAATCTAGTTGGAGGTTCCCAAACCCCAATTTTTGACTTCTGTGCACTGGCAGGCTCCACACCATGTGGAAGCTGTCAAGGCTTGAGGCTTGCACCCTCTGGAGCCATGGCCGAAATTCTACATTGGCCCCTTTCATCTACAGCTTGAGCAGCTGGGATGCAGGGCACCAAGTCACTAGGCTGCACACAGCATGGTGACCCTGGACCTGGCCCACAAAACCACTATTTCCTCCTAGGCCTCCAGGCCTGTGATGAGAAGGCCTGAAGTGAACACCTCTGACATGCCTTGGAGACATTTTCCCCATTGTCTTGGGGATTAACATTTGGCTCCCCATTACTTAAGCAAATTTCTGCAGCTGGCTTGAATTTCTCCTCAGAAAATGGGATTTTCTTTTCTAACACACTGTCAGGCTGCAAAGTTTCCAAATGTTTATGCTCAGCTTCCCTTATAAAACTGAAAGCCTTTAACAGCACCCAAGTCACTTCTTGAATGCTTTGCTGCTTAGAAATTTCTTCTGCCAGATACCCTAAATCATCTTTCTCAAGTTCAAAGTTCCACAAATCTCTAGGGCAGGGGCAAAATGCCACCAGTCTCTTTGCTAAGACATAAAAAGAGTCATCTTTGCTCCAGCCCCCAAAAAGTTTCTCATTTCCATCTTAGAGCATCTCAACCTGGACTTTATTGTCCTTATGGCTATCAGCATTTGGGGCAAAGCCATTCACCTCTAGGAAGCTCCAAAGGTTCCCAAATTTTCTTCTCCTCTTCTGAGCTCTCCAAACTGTTTCAAGCTCCGTTTGTTACCCAGTTCCAAAGTCATTTCCACATTTTCAAGTATCTTTTCAGCAATGCCCCACTCTAGTGGTACCAATTTATTGTATTAGGGCTTTTTCACACTGCTGATAAAGACATACTGGGCAATTTACATAAGAAAGGTGTTTATTGGACTTACAGTTCCACATGGCTGGGGAGGTCTCACAAAGCAGAAGGCAAGGAGGAGCAAGTCACATCCTGCATGGATGGTGGCAGGCAAGAAACAGAGCTTGTGCAGGAAAACTCCCATTTTTAAAACCATCAAATCTCATGGGACTTATTCAATATCACAAGAACAGCATGGGAAAGATCTGCCCCCATGATTCAACTCCCTCCCCACCAGGTCCCTCCCATAACACGTGGGAATTCAACATGAGATTTGGGTGGGGACATAGCCAAACCATGTCAGTAGTAGAAGATATTTGCTGGCTGGTGCAAGCAGTCAGGCATTAATGAAGAGGAATTCTATGAAAATAAAAGAAGAAAAATATTAATAGTTGTAAACCCAGTCTGAGTTCAGAGGGTAGCCAGTCAGTAAGATTTCTGGATGTTGGGCTCAAAGTTGGTAGTGGCAATCCAATTAATTTCCTGGTTTGCAGTATTAATGTCTTTGGTTATGACACTGGGTATTTCTGTAACCTTTCTTAGTGGCCCATACAGCAGCAAGCATGTAGATTGCCCATACATATTTTTTTACTTGTGTGGTGGTTTCTTTGAAGTTTGTATCAAAACATCTAGCTTCAGCTTGCTGAGCTTGGGGAAAAGGGCAGTTTCAGTTCTCAGTGATGCCAAGTCAGGAAGGTGGGAGAAAAAAAAATGGAAACTCTCCATTGGTTTGGAGAGTCATAGCCAAATATTGGAAGAAACTAGAATTGATACAGTCCAGTTTTCAGATAGTAACACGCAGTGTACGCTATAGTTTTTTGTTGAAACAGAACATTTCTCCCTACACTCACCCCCGACCCCTTTTGATTGTTGCTTACAAAATAAATCTGGTCTCATTAGATTTGGCTTGGTTATTTACATAAGTGCAGCAAGAATGGTAACTGACTACATAGGTCTTTTTGAATTTGTCTTCCTGGAACTTTTCATTGGAATCTCAGATTGGACTTTTATAAATCTCTCAAGACCAGGAAGCAAAGCCAAGAACTCACCACCAGATTTTGCTTGCAGTACATATAGATTTAGATGAAATTCTTTTTTCTTAAAGTCCTCAAAATATCTTGATGTTCCTGAGCCTGCAAGGAACCTTACTTACTCATCTGTAAAACTGGAAATCCCATAAGCCAGATACCAGGCCAGTTTTTCCAGGAGGGCTTTTTAAGCATTGGCTCAGTAAAGTAGGCCTTAGTTCTTTAAAGCTGAATGGTTATGTCATCCTCAAATATGATATTCTAGTCAAGTCCTTGGTTAAAGGTTAATATAATGCACATATTATTTTTTAAAAAACACAGAATCTTTTTTCTCAGATTACTTGAGTCAAGGAAAAAAAAAATCTCGTATTTAGAACAGACCAATAACCCAAGAAAATGTTGCCATTTTGACAGAGATAAAACCAAATACTAGTTTAACATAATACAGTTTTGATGTGAGGCTCATTAAAATAAAACACATAAATAAATATCTTCCAATCATTAGACAGCTTGAATACATTAGATAATATCTTTTTTCTGCAAACTTTCTACACCCTTCTTATATCCATTCAATTTTTTTTTTCTTCTACATTTTTCTCTTTCTGGAACACCAGTCATCTTACTTTAGAAGAAAATTACTCTTTTATATCCCTTTAACAAAAAACACATCCTTCCTACTTTGTATATCTTTTCATATAAAAAAAACCGACATTCCTTGCATACTTTTCATATGAGTTGTTTCCCATCACTCTTATTATTTCTAGTAGTTTTAATTACATATATTGATTATAATTATTAACTATTAGCAGCCATTCTTTCACTGAGAAAATCAAGAAATAGACAAAGTAGACAATTATCTGTCATATACCAGGATTTTGATAACAGACTTGCAAATTTTATGAATATACCATCTCATATTTCTTATAGTTATATGCTGTTTCCTCATAGTACATTTCTCATTTTTGTTAACAGACCCAAATATATTCAACTTCTGTATATTGTATAAAAACAAGACACCAAAACTATATAAACTTAAATGTGTGATTAGTAATGAATATTTTAGTAGTGTATCCTAATTAATTATTAATGAATATGTATTACTTAACGTAACACTAAGCTTGATAGTTAGCAAGAAGATTTTGAAAACTGTTTTTGGGCAGATATACTGTAACACCAGACACAGTCAGCCATAATCTCAAGTTACTTTCTGGTTAACTATTTTCACAGCATATGCAGGCTAGACTAAATAAAAGCAAATAGAAAACTTTAATAAGTTAAATACACGAGTTTCTTTGTTTTACTGTTGTGTTTGATATATATGAAGTACTGGATATCAAGTAACTCATTTCTCCTGTTTGTGGAATTATACATTTGTTTTAGGTTGAATTTAAATTTTTACAATTTCAAACATCAAGTACATACATTATTACTTTATTCAACTAGTAAACTCAAACAGAATAAAAATTTATGCTTGTCTTATACTTAAAGCTCATAACTCAGAAGATATAGCTGTTTGTATTAAACCAACAATATTAAACTGATTTTATTTACTAAAGATTTACTCAAATCATGTAAACTTGAAAAGCACTGGGTAAGTTTCATATTTCTATGAATTTTAGGAGTATTTAACTTATATAAGTGTTCAATTATTTTTAAGCCAATTTAAGTAGAATTTCTTTAAGGGATTTTATAATTTGGTAATATCATCCTGAAAGAAAAAAGTGTATGTACATATGTGTATATATGCATATGTACAAACACCATATATAGGTACATTCATAGAGACAAAGTTATTTTATAGATTTTATTTGAAAATTTTAGTCATAAGTCAGGCAACACAGTCATACAAAACTTATTTCCACTTTGCATTTTATCCAAATTGTGTTTCTGACAAAAATAAGATAAGTTGAATAAGAGCTAAAGCTTTTTTTAAAAAATCATTATTTGTAGAGAGAACTTTTAAGATTTTCTTTTGCCCTGATACGTAATCTTACAGAGGCTGTGGACCACATTTTAGACGAGTGACTGAGGAAACACCTAGCAGCTACCCAGATGTCTCTAAAGCTTACCTGAGTTGATACAATGTTCAGACTGTTTCCACTTAGCATTTCCCCTTTTCAGTCTCAGGTTGCTGCTTTTGGCAGATCCTTGAGGGGCTCCTTATGCAGTAGAGAGTTTAAACTTCAAGTGTCTTTAGAAAACTAAAAGGCAGGGACAAACTGTTAGGATTTTGAAGGAGGACACATTAAAGGATTCAATAGAACTGAATGAGAACCCAAGGTGGTAAAAGAAATAAGGAAGAGTAGAAAGAATGAGAAAGGAGAGGTCTTGGAGATGCTAGTTTGGGGAGATCATAAGTTTTCCAAAAAGGCTAAAGACATTCCAATTTATCCTTAGTAAATTCAAGCCAACAAAAAGAACATGGACAGGCCGGGCGCGGTGGCTCACGCCTGTAATCCCAGCACTTTGGGAGGCTGAGGTGGGCGGATCACGAGGTCAGGAGATCCAGACCATCCTGGCTAAAACGGTGAAACCCCGTCTCTACTAAAAAATACAAAAAATTAGCCGGGCATAGTGGCGGGCGCCTGTAGTCCCAGATACTCGGGAGGCTGAGGCAGGAGAATGGCGTGAACCCTGGAGGCAGAGCTTGTAGTCAGCCGAGATGGCGCCACTGCACTCCAGCCTGGGTGACAGAGCGAGACTCCATCTCGAAGAAAAAAAAAAAAAAGAACATGGACAGAGTTGGCAGGACATACAGTGAAGAGGGATTCACAAAGTTGATTTGAGTTGACTAGAAGTTATCATGTGAGAAACAGGATCAAATAAAGAAACAGAAGTACTCACATAGAGCCTGGAAAAAAACAATCTTCCAACCCAAAATGTCAGGGAGCAATCCCCACTTGACACAGAGACCCAGAAAAAAAAAAAGGCTTGTAGCCCACAGAATCAGGGGATAAATTTCCACTCAAAAGAGCGAGCCATGAAGAAATAAACTCAGCTCATGGAGTTACGAAATAAATTCTCTCTCAAAACAGTCAGGAAGAAAGACTTCTCACTCAGGAGTCAGGGAATGAGTCCTACTCAAAATAAGGAGCCAGAAACAACTCTCATCCCAGGAATTTTTAATTTAAATGTTCTAAAATTAAATTGTGGTCCTATTTGCACAACTCTGTGAATGTATTAAAAAACACTGAACTTTAAACTTGAAATGTAGAATTTTATGGTATGCAAATTATGTTTCAGTAAATTTGTAAAAAAGTTATACACATTATGCGTAACAACTTGATAATTTTCTGTATAGAGCTTTTATGAGTAACAAATACACATGTCTAACGACATACATTTTAGCACAAATTGTCATATTTGTATTTCAATATGTATAACTGCCTATATATATAGTGGTTATTTTGGTTCATATTCATACAAATATAATTTAATATGTAAAATTCTTAAGACAAATTAACAGACCCATGTAAACCTCAAAAATGAACCAAGTAAATTAGTCCATTCTTTCCTTACATAAAAGGATGACAATTTTATACCCGAAATTCACTGGAATTTTATATCCAATGAATGGTGATGATTTATCACATCAAATGTAAATACGTGAGAATGTGCAGTCATTCAAAAACAATACAAATTTAAAGGAGGATATTACTGCCTGCTTTCTCCTCTTCTGGAAAATGTATTTCCATCCATTCTAAAAAAGGAAAAATATTGATTTCTTTGTTCATTAAGAATCATCCTTCCATTCTGACAGTTGTTTTTAACCATTTTTAATAACATGGTCTAAAGAAGAAAATAACCTACTTTTCTGATTGTTAAATGCTCTCATTGGTTTGACCCATCATTTTTCATTCATCTGATTTGATGCTTCTAAAGATTTGAAGATGGGTCCGTGTGATTGGCCAGTTATTCATTTGGTATGTACATGATGCAGACCTTTGGTTGTATCCACATAACAGGAGAAATGAACCTAAATTCACCATCATAATTTTACCTTAAGTGGAAAGTATTCATTTTTAATTTAAACTCACTAGCTTACGGAATACATACAAGGTGAGTTTCCAGGGATAGGAAAGAAATCTTTCTCCTGACATCCCAAAACTGGTCTCAGTAGTTGTATTATCGTCCCACCTTCACTCTTTCCGCCCTAATTTAACCGGAAATTTCACACAACAAGATCTTGGCACCATGGAGGCTTTACTAGAGACCAAGTTTGGTTAAAAATATATCTTATTCATTTAGCCACTATTCTCAAACATTGGTATTATTTAAATGAGCTTATTAAAGGAGCTTATCAAAATTTATGTAATTTAACTTTTTATACTTTAATAGGTTTTTTAATATACTGAGGAAACTGGTGTTTCCCCTTTCAGAGAACAAGTGACGCATTTTATTGAAAAATAAAATATTTACTACTTCTTACTGATACATCAATAAAGAGACACAAATAAAATGTGATGAACTTTACAAGTGAACACATAACCAGCACCCAGATCAAGACAGAAAACGTTTCAGGTACCTCCAAAAACCCTCTTGTGCCCCTCACAGCATTACTCATCTTTCAAGGACATGGACTGTTACTCTGTTATTTTCTTTTTTCTATTTTATTCCATTAGATACCACTATTTATTTACCCATTCTTCTATTAATGGGCATTTAGGATATTATTAGTCTTTTTGAAATTTGTAAATGAATTAAGATGGGCATTTAGGATATTATTAGTCTTTTTGAAATTTGTAAATGAATTAAGATGGACATTTTAGGTCACAATAAAATATTAACATATTTGAACACATCAATGCTTTTAAATTGTAATTAATTAAGAAAAATCACTGTTAGACAAGAATATACAGAAAAATTATAATATCAGGACTTTGCACAAGGCATTAACATTTTAACGAAGAGTAAAAAGAGATTGCTCTTTTTTTTAAGTAGAAATCCAGTCACCCATCATTTATACAAGATCCTTGGATTCTACTCATCTCAGTATGTACTTCATATTTCTGTTCTTTGCTTCAAGTACCCCTGTTACGCATACAATGGTTGCACCAGCAGAAATTAAGCTAATAAATTAACATGTCTTCACTTTACCAGTGAAGAATGCTGTCATTTCATCAGACTGAGGCCAATGCGAGCTTAACATTGTATAAAAATATGACAGTTTGGACTTTAATACTTCAAGTGAGCAGCTTATTTAACAGCCTTGAAAACTCCTGCGCTTATAAGATTTAATTAAAGTGATTTACAGTTAATATGAAAAATGCCTGAGATATTAAACTGTGGTAATATATAGATTTTGGATCTTGTTCAGATAGTCATTCAGAACATTGGATGTAGCTACAAAGTAATTCAATTTAAACTCACGTTTCAAAATGCCAATTTTATGTACAAGAAAAAAGAATTGCCAAGCCAAATGAAACTACTTAATCAATACTTCTTCCTTGGATTATTCATTGAAAGTATGGCTTGCTTAGTTCTATTAATAAGTGGAATGTAAATGTCCAATATACATATCCTGAATTAATCTAAAAGGTTGTGAAATTCAAGGGAAAGGAAACACTTTTGCATATGGAAATGACCAGTAAGAATAGTTTATAGTTAAATGAAATATTTTGAGAAAGAATATTTTGTTAATGAACAATAAGACTGGTCTGTATCTACTGTATCCTAACTAAATGGCAATGAAATACTAAGGGCAAAACAGTGCTTAGGAAATTGCAGTTTGCTGCTAATTCTATCCAAGGAAATGTCCAACCCTTTCTTCAATAGCAGCCCTCCAGCAGCAACTTTAAATACATGATTAGATTACCCTCCCTGTGATCTTGGCTTGCAAATATCTAAATAGCAGTAATAAAATAATCATGGATTTAGAACTCCATCCAGTTGTCTTATTCGACCATAATAATGTACCCTGGAAGTTCATTGTGCATGGTGACTGAAAGCTGTGCGAAGAAGCACAGTCAAACCTGTGTTTGTTGGAATGCAATGTGGAGGGAATCAGCTGGTGTTAGGAAAAGTCGAGCTCAAATGGAAATCACAATAATGGTGCTGATGGCTGCCCACAGCTGAACTGAATTGGTATTTATTTAGAAACATTATAGCCTGAGACTTAGCATTTGCTCATCAGTTTCTAATTGCCATAATTCCTTCTTGTTTGTTCTTAATACACATTTTTCTTATATTCGAGGTCTATAGTCAAAAGGATTACACTGTGATGATTTTGAAGTTTTCAAATACAAGTAGTATCTTTTATAAATAGTATCTTTTATATGTGACAATTTTCCTTATCAATTAACCTAGTCTGTGGATTATGAAACTCCAGATTGAGAATTGGGAGGTTATCCATAAAGTACTTTTGTATATACGTGTGTGTGTGTGTGTGTGTGTGTGTGTGTGAGTGTGTGTGTGTGTTTTAAATTTAAAAACTGCTATTACTACAGTAAAGAACTCAATCGGGATTGGGAATTATTAATAACTTTGTTATCTTAACTTGGTGATATAATGTTCTCTGTCAATGAAGAAAACTATTTTTTATTAAATTCGCTGAAGATATATAAACATTCAATAGTTATAAGAAAAAGGCCAGCACCAAAAGTACTGAAATATAACTAAATCACGTACAATCTACATTTTTTTCTAGAGCTTCACACTCTTCCTACTCCTCTTGAAGAAAAAAAAATCTAACCTACAAAACATAGCAAATGAAATTCAAAACTATAATCATTTGAAGTTTTAAACTTTCAAATATCTGACAAATTTAGCCACGTAACTTTCAAAGTAACACTACAAATAATCTTCTAATTATTTTTAATGTCCTTATTGATTTACCAAGTCTTCTATATGTTAACAGATTTTGCTTATGGAAAATTTTCATATTTTAATTGTGAAAAAGTATTTTCAAAAAATATTCACATTTCAAGCTCCCAAAATAGACAAAAACCTATACCACAAAGTATATTACTCAAAATTTTGCAATGGATCATTTTGCTACAATTTTTTTTCAACAGAACCCAAATCAATCTTGCGTGACTCAAAAACTCTTACCTGTTATTTTTTAATTGTTAGATTATATAGTAGAGATGGTACATTAGTCCTCATTTTCACACTGCTATAAAGAACTGCCTGGGACTGGGTAATTTATAAAGGAAAGAAGTTTAAGTGACTCACAGTTCATCATGGCTGGGGAAGTCCTCCGGAAACTTACAATCACGGCAGAAGGAACTTCAGAGAACAGCAAGAGCGAGAAAAAGCAACAGAACACCTACCGAACACTTTTAAAACCATAAGATCTCGTGAGAACTTACTCACTGTGCCTGAGAAGAGAATGGGGGAAACTGCTGCCATGATTCAATTACCAACACCTGGTCTCTCCCGTGACACGTGGGGATGATGGGGATTACAGGGAATGCAATTCAAGATGAGATTTTGGATGAAGACATAGCCAAACCATATCAGCTGGGGTCTGGCTATGTTGCTCAGGCTGGTCTGGAACTCCAGGGCTAAAGCAATCCTCTCACCTCGGCCTCCTGGGTCACAGGAATTATGGGCATGAGCAACTTTGTTGTTAAAATCTATCATCATGAAGTCCCTATTAAGTTATACTTCAGTTTTCATTTTTATCTCTGTGACTCTCAGATGAAAATATGCTATCCTCAAACCACCATGTCACATGTATATCTATGTAACAAACCTGCATGTTCTGCACATGTATCCCAGAACTTAAAGTAAAACAAACAAACAAAAAAACTAAGGAAATCTGAACAACTATATATATATATATATATATATATATATGCACACACTATTGCTATATGCCTTTCTATTTGCCCACAGAAATTTTTTTATTATGTTTTCTATGGAGCACAGATTTCTCCTTTCAGAATTTTCAGAAAGTCCAATCAAACATTACAATTTAGAAGGCAGCTGCTAATAATTTCTAGTGATTTAAAGGGAAGCTGTGTACTACAGCTGTGGGATACTTCTCCCTTACTGTCATATTCATCCTCATTGGTTTCAAACAAGAATACACATTTTGGTATATTCTAAGCAGCTGGCTATTCTCGTTGCCTGAAATTCTTTCTAATCCATACCTCAAGAAGCCATCTTGAACACACAAACTTGAACAGTCCTAGAAGTCACTTTCTGTCCTGGTATTCCATTTGATTCCTGATCATTATGCGAAATTATCTCCATTCATTTACTTACATATTTACTTGTTTGACTCCTTATTGCATCCCTTCTAATTTCTTCCTCCACCCTTGCCACGTGTGTATAGTGGAATATAATATTCAAAGGAACAGTAATCTTGCTGTTTTTTTTCAACAACTTCATCATTGGTGTTTAGTATAATGCTTGACACTTAAAAGTTACTCAATAAATATTTTTAACTAATTATAAATAAATGAAACGAATAAAGTGGAGAGTGACAGTAGATGAGGCTGTGTAGGTAAGAGAGGTCTGATCTAAGATCTTTGAAACAATGCTAATGCCTTTAGAATGTATTTTTAAAACAATCAGCTAAGTTCAAAGGGTTTTATGCAAAGTGTGATCTAATCAGATTTTTATCATTTAACAATATGTATTTGCTTCTTAGGACAGCTTTTGTGAAGGTATGGTACCATACTTTTTTCAGTCCTGTTTTTATATTTGCTTCTTCTCTCTCTTAATTTTAAGATCCATAAATATAGGCATTTTGAGCTTAACACTTATATTTATCACAGTTTTCTTCCATAGAGTAAGGAGGATTAAATACTTCTTTGGACTATATTCTTAAGAATTTACCCACCCATTCAATACATATGTATTGAATAGCTATTTGTGAAAATGAATATGCTGGATGAAATGGGAGATAAAGTTATTAAAAACTCTTACCCGCATCAGTATTTAAAGAGATAGGTAAAATATAGAAGACCCATTCAGAAATAAAGATTACAAATGCTTAAAGATAGAACTGGTATAATATATATATATAATCAAAGGGCCACAAAAGTTCAGAAACAGAGTCTACAAGGTTATAAAATACTGTTTGTATTTTTGGTCAAACGTCATCATTTTTATGAAGCTCTTCATTCTGAAAAATTCTGAGTGAGAACTTGTAGAAATTTGCCTCAGTCACTCCAGGCATGTAGAGTAGACCATTAGTTCTGACCCATATTTATATAGAATACTCCTCTAGTGGCTATACAATTTAGAAAAAAAGTAGATCTCTGTCCTTTTACATAATCCAGTTACTAATATCATACCTTGGAAAGATTATTTCCATGATTTCTCAATCAGGAAAGAGATTTGCGTTCTCAGAAAACTAAACGTCAATATGATGGTTGAGTTGACATCCAGAATGTATCCTTTCTTAGTATTTTCTGAGCCAGCATCATTATGATTAGAAAATGGAAATGATCCTAATGGAAATGACTACAAAGAATTAAATTATAAGAACATTGTAAATGTGTTTCTCTCAATTATAATCTCATTTACACTGTACGAAGGTTAGAGGTTTGCATTTTTGCCATCTGAGTCTTCACAAATTGCTGTTTTTCAAGGGACAAAGGTCTTTTAAAATAAGTATTGAATTTCTATCTACAGGAAAAATTAAAATATGACAGCAGAAAAAGGAGCACTATACCCATAATACTATGTTAGTTGCAACATCTTACTATTTTAATGAGTGCAGTAAACTCATCTCTTCTTAGAGTAATAAGAATTGTGTTTTATTTTTGTTGTTAATCCAAATCTTGCCTGATCATCAGTCTGATAGCATTCTTGCATTTCTTTTCAAAGGACAGAGGTCTCTCAATAAATAACTCATTTGAAATGTACAAATAGTCACCTCAACTTAATCGTGGATATTTTATGTTTTTTACCAAGAAAGACTATATAAGAACATTCAGTAACAGTTGACACATCACTCTAATAATTATATTGCCTTACCAGAAACTAACACATTATAGTGTATGTGTCTTTTACCTAGGAAAGCCTGTTGGATTGGCTGGCATGACCTGTTTAAAGAAGCAGTTTTTTTGACAATTCAGTTATTGATTTCCAAGCCTGACACTTCCTTAGCAGTTTGTATTCTCAGATTCTCTATGTTCTTTTTCAATTCCGGATATATTTTAGGTTGCTTGGCACATTGTCATTTTTCTAGTTTGTCCAATATCATCTTATCAGATTTCTTCAGAAGTCCTAAGTAGACTATAACATTAAGAGGGAGAAGAGTTGAGTAAAAAAGAGATATATGTATATGTATATGTATATATACATGTATATGTATATACATGTATATGTGTCTATATATACATGTATATGTATATGTATATATACATATACATATCTTTTTTACTCAACTCTTCTCCCTCTTAATGTTATATATATGTATAACATTAAGATGTTATATATAACATTAATATATAATTATGTTATATATAACATTATATAATGTTATATATAACATTATATAATGTTATATATAACATTATATAATGTTATATATAACATTAAGATGTTATACATATATATGTATATATATACACACACATATATAGGTATATATATAGGTATATATAGGTGTATATATATAGGTATATATATGAGAATATTTATATGTCATCCTCACACACACCTATATTGCGCATTCTTTTGTCTTGTATGTGTGAATTTAGTTCCTTGTAGTACAATTTCCAGAGTGACTTTTAAATCATTGTAAAATCATCATTGTATTTTTAGACATAGAATGTTGTGATTTGCATACACCAAATTACCTTTTTAAATTTTTGAGAGCTATTCTTAGCAACAAAAGGCAAATCTAACAGTCTAGAATTAGACCTAGCCAAGATAATTTATTATATTTATAAAAGAAATATACGAAGCAGAGTTAATCTTATTTATTTTATTTTTATTTGTTTTAATTAGTGGTCTTTATTAGAAAAGTTATAGATTTACAGATAAACTTAGCATATAGTACGGAAAGTTCCCATATACTCCCCACTCTCCTCCCCTCCACCCACTGCACACACAGTTTCCACTATTGATAACATCTTGCTTTAGTGGTGTACCTTTGTTACAACTGATGAACTAATATTGATACACGATTATTAAGTAAAGTCTCTAGTTTATGTTAGGGTTCATTCTTCGTGTACAGTTCTGTTGGTCTTTACAAATTCATAAAATCATGTAACCACCATTAATGTATCAGGCAGAAGAATTTCACCACCCTGAAAACTGTCTACTTTAATTCCTTTTCCCTACCCTACTACCCTGTCCCCTGAATCCTTGGCAAGTACTAATCTTTTTATTGCCTCTATAGTTTTATGTCATGTAATTGGAATCATATATCATACAGTATGTAGCCTTTTCAGATTGGTTTCATTCACTTAGAAATACACATTTAAGTTTCCTCCATGTGTTTTCATGACATGATAACTCATTTCTTTCTAGCACCTTATTACATTACATTGTATGGATGTAGCACAACTTTTTTATCCATTAATCTATTAAGAGATATCCTGTTGCTTCCAGATTTTGGTAATTAACAAATCTACTATAAACGTTTGCATGTGAGTTTCTATGTGGACAAACATTTTCATTTCATTTGGGTAAACATATAGCAGTGTAATTACAGTACAGGATTATGTGGTAAGATGATGTTTAACTTTGTACAAAACTGCCAAACTGTCTTCCAACGTGGCTGTAGCTTTCCACATTCCCTTAATGACATGTGATGTTAACACATTTTTCATATGCTTATTTTCCATCTGCATGTCTTGTTTGGCGAAGTGTTTCTACAGTTATTTTGCCCATTTAAAAGAGGGTTGTTTGTTTGTGTGTTCCTCCCATCTGGAGTTGTTCATTCCTCCTGATGGGTTCATGGTCCCCCTGGCTTCAGGAGTGAAGCTGCAGACCTTCGCAGTGAATATTACAGTTCTTAAAGACAGCACGTCCAGGGTTGTTCGTTCCTCCCATCCGGGGTTGTTCTTTCCTCCCGTCCAGAGTTGTTCATTCCTCCCAGTGGGTTTGTAGTCTCGCGCTTCAGAGTGAAACTGCAGACCTTAGCAGTGAGTGTTACAGTTCATAGAGGCAGCGTGGACCCAAAGAGTGAGCAGCAGCAAGATTTATTGCAAAGAGCAGAAGAACAAAGCTTCCACACCATGGAAGGGGACCCGAGTGGGTTGCCGCTGCTGGCTCTGGTGGCCTGCTTTTATTTGCTTATTTGGCCCCACCCACATCCTGCTGATTGGTCCATTTTCCAGAGAGCTGATTGGTCCATTTTACAGAGTGCTGATTGGTCCATTTTGACAGAATGCTGATTGGTGCATTTACAATCCTTTAGCCAGACACAGAGCGCTGATTGGGGCATTTACAATCCTTTAGCTAGACAAAAAAGTTCTCCAAATCCCCACCCGATTAGCTAGACATGCAGAGTACTCATTAGTGCGTTTACAAACCTTCAGCTAGACACAGAGTGCTGATTGGTGCATTTACAATCCTTTAGCTAGACAGAAAAGTTCTCCAAGTCCCCACCCCTCTGACCCAGAAGCCAGCTGGCTTCATGTCTCACTTTCTCCTTTAAACTTCCTTTGCACTTTGTTAAAGTTCATTTGACTGTATTTGTTTGGATCTATTTCTTGGTTTTCTATTGTATTCCACAGATACATTTGTTTATTCTTTCACCAGTATCATGCTCTTTTTGTTCCTGTAACTTTATAGCAAATCTTGAAGTTGAGCAGTCTCAGTTCTCTATATTGTTTTTCTTCAGTATTTTCTTGGCTATTTTAGATATGTTGAATTTCCATTGAAACTTTAGAATCAGTTTGCCAATATCCACAGAATAACCTGCTGAGATTTTGATTAGGATTGAGTTGAATGTACAGATCAAGTTAAGAAGAAGTGACATTCTAAAATAACAATATAGAGTATTCCTATACATGAACATAGATTGTCTCTGCATTTACTCAGATCTTCTTTGATTTCTTTCATCAGAGTTTTTTAGTTTCCCTCACATAGATTGTGTATATCTACTAAGACTTACACTTAAATATTTCATATTTTTGTTTCTAATGTAATGGTATTATGTTTTTAATTACAAATTCCATTTGTTCATTGCCTACGTGAAAACAATTAATTTATGTATAGTAACTTTTTATCTTGAAACTTCACTATATTTATTCCCAGTTATTTTTGTAGATTATTTGAGATTTTCTACATAGACCATGATATCATCTGAAAGCTAACACAATTTTATTTATTTTTTCCCAATGTGCATATGTTTTATTTTCTTTCCACATCTTATTGTTTTAGGACTGTAAGTACAATGTTGAGTAAGAGTGGACACCCTTGCCTTGTTAGTAATTTAGGGGGAAAGCATTTAGTTTCTTACCATTAAGTATTACGTTAGCTGTAGGTTTTTTGTAGATGTTCTTTATCACGTTGAAGAAGCTCCTCTTTACTCCTACTTTGCTGAGTGTGTTTATTAGGAATGGATATTAAATTATGTCATTTAATTTTCTGCATTTATTGTTATAATTATATAATTTTTCTTTTTTAGCCTGTTGACATGATGGGTTACATTAGTGATTTTCAAATGTTGGACCAGATCCAAATACCTGGGATAAATCCCACTTTGTTGATATCTGTAATTCTTTTTAAACATTCTTATATTTGATTTGAAAATATTTTCTTGAGGATAATTGCATCAATGTTTGTGAGAGATATTGGTCTTTAGTTTTCCTTTCATGTAACAATGTCTATATCTGGTTCTGGCATTAGGGAAATGCTGGCCTCACAGATCAAATTTCCTGTCTTCCAACATATGTATTCAATACTATAAATTTTTTTCTAAAGATTGCTTTTCTGCATCCCTATTTTTTGTTATATTTTTATTTGTATCGAGTTCAAAATATTTTTAATTTCTCTTGAAACTTCTGCTTGACCTTTGCGTTATTTTGAAGTGTACTGTGTATGTTTAAATATTTTGAGATTTCCCAGCTATATTTACGTTATTAAATGCTATTAGGTTGGTGCAAAAGCAATTGTGGATTTTGCCATTAAAAGTGATGGCACATGTACACGAGAAATTGTTGTTAGGCACATATACTTGAGACACATATATGTTGTTAGGCACATATACATGAGAAATTGTTATATCTTCTTATAGAATTTATCTCTTTATCATAATGTAAACAATTCTCTTTATCCATGCCAGTTTTCTTTGTTTTGATGTTTGCTTAGACTGAAATTAGCACAACTATTTCAGCTTTCTTTTATTAGTGTTAACATGGCATATTTTTCTCCATCCCTTTACTTTTCTTTTTTTTTAGACAGAGTCTTGCTCTGTCGCCCTCAAGCTGGTGTGCAGTGGTGCCATCTTGGCTCACTGCAACCTCTGCCTCCTGACTCCAAGCGATTCTCCTGCCTCAGCCTCCGAGTAACTGGGATTACAGGTGCATGCCACTGCCACTGTCTAATTTTGTATTTTTTATAGAGATGGGGTTTCACCATGTAGGCCAGGCTGGTCTCGAGCTGCTGACCTCAGGTGATCTGCCTGCTTTGGCCTCCCAAAGTGCTGGGATTACAAGTGTGAGCCACAGCGCCCAGCCTCCATCCCTTTACTTTTAATCTGTGTCTTTATATTTTAAATGGGTTTCTTGTAGACCATATACAGCTGGGACTTTTTGTTTTAATTTCTCTTCTCAGTCTGTCTTTTTAATTGATGTGTGTTAATCATTCACATTTAATATAATTATTGAGATAGATTATTATCTACCATATTTGTAACTGTTTTTCATTCCATCCATTTTTTCTTTTTTTTTTTTTAATCTTCTCTCTTTTTGCCTTCTCTGGTTTAAACACCTCATATTATTTCTATTTTTTCTCATTTTGTAGGGTATCTATTATACTTCTTTTAAAATTTTCTTTAATACTTGCCCTAGAGTTTGCAATATACATTTACACCTAAATCTAAATACTTTTAAATAACACTCTACCACTTCATAGGTAATAGAGGCACCTTATAACAAAGTACTCCCAATCTATCTCTTTTATCTTTTATAATACTGCTTACAGACATTTCACTTATTCATACCTATAATCACCCAATAAATTGTTACCATTAATATTTTAAGCAGTTTTCTATTAAATCAACTAGAAATCAGAAAAATAATAGGTTTTCTTTTAACTCTCATTTATTTATTCTCTAACACTCTTCCTTTGTTTACATAGTCCAAGTTTTTAAACTATATAATTTTTCTTCTCTCTGAAAAAGTTCTTTTGGCATTTCTTGCAAGTCATATTTATAGATGACAAAACTCCTCAGGTTTGTTGGTTGGTTGGTTTTTCTTTTTCTTTACTGTTTTCCTACTTGCATGACTTTTGAAAAAAAAAATCCTATTAAATTATTAGCCCTTCTACTCTATAGATAGGATGTGTTTATTCTTCAACTTCTTTCAAGTTTTTCTCTTTGTTGCTTTCTGCATTTTGAATATGATATGCCTATGTGTAGGCTTTTTGATATTTATCATGCTTAATTTTCTCTTAGTTTCCTGGATCTGTGGTTTGGTATCTTTCATTAATTTTTTGAAAATGTTCAGCTATTACTTCAAATACTCCTCCTACTCGTTTTGCTCTTTTCATGTATATTCTGGGATTTTTTTCATTTTGTTTTCTTTATGCATTTCAGTTTGAGATGTTTTTATTGACATATGTTCAAGTTCATTGATTTTTCTTTAGCTGTGTCTAGTCTACTTGTGAGCCCATCACAAGCATTCTCCATTTTTGTTACCCAATTTTATTATTTCTAGCATTTTCTTTTGATCATGTTTTAGAATTTCCATCTCTTTGCTTACATGACCCATGTGTTCTGGCATGTTTTTTCTGCTTTTTTAAATTAGCACTTAGCATTTTAACCATCCTGATATTGAATTCTCTGTCTAATATTCACAAGTATTGTCAGATATGAACTTGCTTCGGACGTTTGCTTTGTCTCTTCATATTGTTGTTTTTTTTTGTCTGACCCTTTACAATGCTTTTCAATTTCTTTGTTGTTGTTGCTAAAAAAGGGAAATGATGTATTGGGTAATAGAAACTCAAATAACAAGGCCTGTAGTATGTGCTTTTATTGTTAACTAGTAGAACTTAGGTTCACTTAATGTTTGCTGTAGCTATAGATGACAGAAGCTACAATTTCTAATGTCCTGCTTTTGTCTTGCTTTCTTTGAATTTTTCTAGAAACTACTTCTTAAACAGAGTCTGTATCTTGCAGGTCTCTTAATTGTATTTCACTGTTATCATACATTAGCTCTGTTGAGATGGTGATGTGGTATTAAGAAAAGCATTCTATAATATTATGATTAAATCTCCACATTTTTAATAAGCCAGAGTCCCTATGCTGTGACCTTCAGAAGCATTTCTTAGCTTTTTATCTCTGCCCTATATTAGATAGGAAGGACAAAGGGGTCTAGACACATCCAATTGCTCTTCTCTTATGTTAGTCAGGTGTATTAGTCTCTTCTCATACTGATGATAAAGACATACCCAAGACTGGGCAATTTACAAAACAAAGAGGTTTAATGGACTTACAGTTCCAGATGGCTGGGGAGGACTCAGACTCGTAGTGGAAGGTAAGGAGGGGAAAGTCACATCTTCCATGGATGACAGCAGGCAAAGAGAGAGAACTTGTGCAGGGGAACTCCCAATATAAAAACCATTAGATCTCGTGATACTTATTCACTATCATGAGAACAGCATGGGAAGGAATTGCACCATGAGTCAATTACCTCCCACCGGGTCCCTCCCACAACATGTGGGAATTCAAGATGAGATTTGGGTGGGGATATAGCCAAACCATATCATTCCACTAATGGCCCTGGCCAAATCTCACCCTCACATTTCAAAACGAATCATGCCTTCCCAACAGTCCTCAATGCTGAGCTCTACCTTGGCCCCTTTCAGCCACAGCTGGAGCAGCTGGGATGCAAGGCATCAAGTCCCTTGGCTGCACACAGCACGGCGACCCTTGACCTGGCCCATGAAACCACTTTTACCTCCTAGGCCTCAGGGCCTGTGTTGAGAGGGGCTGCCATGAACACCTCTGATATGTCCTGGAGACCTTTTTTCCCATTTTCTTAGGGATTAACATTTGGCTCCTCAGTACTTATGCAAATTTCTGCATCTGGCTTGAATTTCTCCTCAGAAAATAGGATTTCCTTTTCTACCACATGGTCAGGCTGCAGTTTCCAAACTTCTATGCTCTGTTTCCCTTATAAAACTGAATGCCTTTAACAACACACAAGTCACCTCTTAAATGCATTGCTGCTTAGAAATTTCTCCCACCAGATATCCTATATCATCTCTCTCAAGTTCAAAGTTTCACACATCTCCAGGGCAGGGGCAAAACGCTGCCAGTCTTTTTGCCAAAACTAACAAAAGTCACCTTGCTCTAATTCCAAACAAGTTTCTCATCTCCATCTGAGACCACCTCTGCCTGAATTTCATTGTCCATATCATTATTAGCATTTTGGCCAAATCCATTCAACAAGTCTTTAGGGAATTCCAAACTCTCCCACATTTTTCTGTCTTCTTCTAAGCCTCCAAACTCCTCCAACCTCTGTCTGTTACCCAGTTCCAAGGTTGCTTCCACATTTCTGGGTATTCTTTCAGCAGCACCCCACTCATAGTACCAATTTACTGTATTAGTCTGTTTTCACACTACTGATAAAGACATGCCAGAGATTGGGCAATTTACAAAACAAAGAGGTTTAACGGACTTATAGTTCCACATGGCTGAGGAGGCCTCACAGTTACGGCAGAATGCAAGGAGGAGAAAGTCATGTCTTACATGGATGGTAGCAGGCAAAGAGAGAGAACTTGTGCAGGGGAACTCCTCTTTATAAAGCCATCAGATCTCGTGAGACTTATTCACGATCACAAAAGCAGCATGGGAAAGACCTGCCCCCATGATTCAATTACCCACCACGGGATCCCTCCCACATCACATGGGAATTCAAGATGAGATTTAGGTGAGAACACAGCCAAACCATATCACCAGGGTCCCAGCAAAGTAATGTCTCCTGGCAATAAGCCCTTGCCATAGAATGCTATGAGCATATTTCAAAATGGCAACTATTCCCATGGACATGTTTTAAAATGGTTACTATCCCCTCTCCTTGTCCAAAACATTAAGGGATTTCTCTCTGATTTTCATTGTCGAACCTTGTAAGCCTCCTGGAAGTAAAACTCAGTAAAGTGTGCGTCCCTCCACCTATGACTGACCCACCTAGATTTTAAATTTTACTGAAGGCAGCAACCTCCAGTAACACATCAGTTACCATTTTAGTGTTCCTAATATTTGATGACTCCAGGGACTTCTGCTCTCAATAAGCTGTGAGTCTCTGTATTCACCTGTCCCTCTAGCTTTTGAGGTGATAATTTGCCCTGTGACCTCAATTCTGTAATCGATCTAAGAAGAGTTGTTCCCTTAGATTGCTCAGCATTCTTTTTTTTTTTTTTTTGCTTTAATGATGGGAGTGATAACATCTAAGTATTTTATAAATTAAAGTGGAAACTATTCTACTTTAATTTTTTATATTTTTAATATATCTCAGATATTCATGTTTGCTTTGATTAGTGTGCACATTTTTGTATATTCTTTGTACTGTCAAACAGAAGAGAAAAAAGTCAATTTAATTCTCTTTTATTCTAAATGCTCTTTCTCCTTGCTATGAAAATCTGGTGTCATGCACATTTTAATGCTGAGAGCAGCACTATGAAAAGGGGGTGATGGTGAGCCCTTTATCATTTCTTGAAAATATGAACTAGCAGATGGCATTTCCTCTGTTCTATATTTTATCATTCAGCAGAAAACAATTAAAAGCAAATGAGTTTTAACAAATCGTTGGCATGCTCATTTCTGTGATGGTTATTTTTATAAGAATCAAAGCTTGCTGTAACGTATTTAAAATACCATTTAATATTCATTTGGCACTCTAGTTGAGTCTGGTATTTTCATTTTACAAATGTATTAAAATGGCCTCATATTGATCTCCAGTAAGTTTAGAAACTTAACTAATATATAAAATACCACCCTTGGGTTTAATACATACAAATGAAAATATATGGCTTTTAAATTGTCTTGGTCTAAGAAGTAGATTTACAGTGAAGCTAATGAAACTTTAGCTTTATGGTGCCTCACTTGAAGGCCATCAGCTCTAGGAGAAACCTAGTAATTTCTCAGCTCTAGGAGAAACCTAGTAATTTGTTCACCTAGTCACGTGTTTTTGCAAAATTTGTAAAATGAAATATTTTAATCATATCCAGTTAGGACTAGTCTTATTCCACTTTTAATTCCTATCATTCTCCTTTGTTCCATTATTAGGTTCAGAAATCTGTTTACATGGTTTGCACTCACTGTGGCACATATTTAAGTAATTCCTAGCCATCCTGTTATAGCATTGGCTTCTGTGGATTTTCCCGCTATTAAAATAATATGCTGGCCAGAGTTTATATGTACCCTCTAGCACCAACGACTAGAAACATGTAGGAAGTAGAGAGAAAACAAAGTGCAAAATATGTAGAGCCAGAAATAAATCTGTGAAAGATCTTCTAATTATCAAATGTACAGAATTGAAGGCTATAATAAATTGTCATTGAAAGTAGACAAATGAAACTTCTTTCTTATCATGACTATACTCAGAATGTTCATTATCTCTTGCTGCTCTCTGACATATTCAAAACTAATTGCATGAAACAACAGCGATTACTGTCTCACACAGACTACAAGGCTGTGTTGTCCAGGAGCTGTTTACTTGTGTATTCTGGCTCTTGTCTCCGATGCTTTTCAGTCAAGGTTTGACTACAGCTGGAGGATCCACTTCCAAAATGGCTCACTCCCATAGCTGTTGGCAGGAGGCTTCAGGGTCTCACTACATAGGCCTCTCTTCAGGGCTACCTGCACATCTTCATGATTTAGCAGCTAGTTTATCCCAGAGAAAGTGATCTGAGAGACAGCAAGAAGGAAGTTCCACTGTATTTTATAAAGTAGCTCCCAAAGTCTCACACTGCCACTTTCCATTTATTCTAATCATTAGAAGTGGGTTGCTAAATCTTATCCACACTCAAGGGGATGAGAATGAGAGGAATTAAGCTCCGTGTTTTGAAGGAGAGGAATATCAAATACTTTGTAGACATATTTTAAAACTACCACATTTGGTATTAAAGATTCTCTCTTTTTAATTGGATGAGTTTACTAAGGCTTTCATAACAAAGTACTAAAACCTGGGTGCTTAAAACAACAGACACTTATTCTCTCACAGTTCGGAAGCTAGATGTCCTAAATCAAGGTTTCAGCAGGGCCACGAGCCATCTGAAAGCTTCTGGGAAGAATCCTTCCTAGTCTCTTCCTAGATTCAGTTTGCTCCTGGCAATTCTTGGAATTCCTTGACTTGTATTTGGAACACTCCAATCTCTGCCTCTGCCTCTGTCTTTACTACATAGCTTTCTATTCTTTGTCTTTTCTATGTGCCTGTGTCCAAATCTCTCTTTCCTTTTTTTTTTTATTACACTTTAAGTTCTAGGGTACATGTACAAAACGTGCAGGTTTGTTACATATGTATACACGTGCCATGTTGGTGTGCTGCACCCAATAACTCTTCGTTTACATTAGGTATATCTCCTAATGCTATCCCTCCCCATCCCCCCACCCCACAACAGGCCCTGGTGTGTGATGTTCCCTTTCCTGTGTACAAGCGTTCTCATTGTTCAATTCCCACCTATGAGTGAGAACACGCGGTGTTTGGTTTTCTGTCCTTGCGATAGTTTGCTGACAATGATGGTTTCCTACAAAGGACATGAACTGATCATTTTTTTATGGCTGCATAGTATTCCATGGTGTATATGTACCACATTTTCTTAATCTAGTCTATCATTGATGGACATTTGGGTTGGTTTCAAGTCTTTGCTATTGTGAGTTTGGTTTTCTGTCCTTGCGACAGTTTGCTCAGGATGATGATAAAGACACTAATCATTGAATCTAGGGCCCACTATAATCTAGTATGACCTCATCTTAACTTGATTACATCTGCAGAGATCTCATTTCTAGATAGGCTCATAATCACTGCTACCAGGTATTAGAACTTGAACATAACTTTAAAAAAATCTTATCCAACCGACTAAAGGAATCATGCATTATAGTATTGACTTGAATTTCTTTTGTATGGCACAAACCTATATGTATCAGAAAGAGTATATATATCACTATAGCAGTTCATAAAAGAAAGAAAATTGATAGCCATTTCCAAATTGAATGACAATCCTAAAAGTTTTTGTAACGCTACCATAATGTGTTGTAAATCTGAAAAAAATAACTTTTCAAAATTGTTAAGCATAGAAAAAAATTATTTGGGTCCACAAGGCCAGAGGAAAAGTATCTTTCTATTATTTTTGCCAAGAAGAAATTAATATATTAAAATTAGCACATGAAAACAAATATCATGCAGTGAAAATATTAGAAAAAAAGATTATAGAATTCTCTTAGTAGATAATTAGTACAAAATTTGTGTGTTTTGGGTTAACTTTATTTTTTGGTCTTGTGACGTTATGGCAAAGACAGCCTGTTGAAATTTGTAACCTACTCTTAATATTTCATTTCTGGCCAGGTGCGGTGGCTCAAACCAATAATCTCAGCACTTTGGGAAGCTGAGGCAGGTGGATCAACTGAGGTCAGGAGTTCGAGACCAGCCTAGGCAACATGGTGAAACCCCATCTCTATTAAAAATACAAAAAAAAATTAGCCAGGTATGGTGGCAGGCACCTATAATCCCAGCTATTTGGGGGCTGAGGCAGGAGAATCGCTTGAACCCGGGAGGTGGAGGTTGCAGTGAGCCGAGATTGCGCCACTGCACTCTAGCCTGGATGGCATGAGTGAAACTCCATCTTGAAAAAAAAAAATCATTTCTAAATAAACATGTATTTCATGTCTAATTTTGTACTCATTTTCTGTTTCTTTAATTTTTAATTTTTGTGGGTACATAGTAGGTATATATATATTTATGGGGCACATCAGATGTTATGATACAGGCATGAAATGCATAATAATCACATCATGAAAAAATGAGGTATCTATCCTCTGAAGCATTTATCCTTTGTGTTGCAAATAATCCAGTTATACTCTTTTGGTTTTAGGTGTACAACTAAATTATTATTGAGTACAGTCACCCCATTGTGCTACCAAGTACTAGGCCTTATTCATTCTTTCTATTCTTTTTGTACCCATTAACCATTCCTACCTCTCCCAACTCTCCCACTACCCTTCCCAGCCTTTGGTAAGCATGCTTCTACTCTCTTATCTCCAAGAGTTCAATTGTTTTGATTTTTGGATCCTACAAATGAGTGAAAACATATGATGTTTGTCTTTCTGTGCCTGATTCATTTCACTTAACATAATAACCTCCAGTTCCATCCATGATGTTGCAAAGAACAAGATCTCACTCTTTTTTATGCCTGTATAGTACTCCAACGTGTATAACTCCCACATTTTCTTTATTCATTCATCTGCCGATAGAAACTTAGGTTGTTTACAAATCTTGGCTATTGTGAATAGAGCTGCAACAATGTGGTAGTGCAGATATCTCTTGCATATGCTGATCTAAACTGTCCTCCATAGTGGTTGAGCTAGTCTACATTCCCACCTAGAGTATATGAGGGTTCCCTTTTCTCCACATTCTTGCCAGCATTTTTTATTGCCTGCCTTTTAAATATAAACCATTTTAACTGATATGAGATGACTTTGATTCATGTCTCTGATGATCATTAATGTTGAGCAGCCTTTCATATGCCTGCTTGCATTTGTATGTCTTCTATTGAGAAATCTCTATTCAAATCTTTTGCCCATTTTAAATCAGATTATTGGACTTTTTCCTAAAGATTTGCGGGTGCTCGTTAAATATGCTGGTTATTAATCCCTTGTCAGGGGGGTAGTTTGCAAATTTTTTTTTCCTTTCCATGGGTTGTCCCTTAACTTTGTTGATTGTTTCCATTGCTGTGCAGAAAGCTTTTTAACTTGGTGTAACCCCATTTGTCCATTTTTCCTTTGGTTGCCTGTGCTAGTGGGATATTAATCAAGAAGTTTTTGTCCACAGCAATGCCCTGCAGAGTTTCGCCAATGTTTTCTTGTAGTATTTTCATAATCTGAGATCTTATATTTAAGTCTTTAATCGATTTTGATTTGACTTTTTTATATGGCAAGTGATAAGTGTCCAGTTTCATTTTTCTGCATACAGATATCCAGTTTTCCCAGTACCATTTATTGAAGACACTGTCTTTTCTCCAAAGTATGTTCTTGACAGCTTTGTTGAAAATGAGTTCACTATAGGTGTATGGGTTTGTTTCTAGGTTCTGATTCTGTTCCATTGGTCTCTGTGTCTGTTTCTATGCCAGAACCATGCTGTTTTGGTTACTATAGCTCTGTAGTATAAGTTGAAGTCATGTAACGTGATTCCTCCCGGTTTGTTATTTTTGCTTAGACTAGCTTTGGCTATTCTGGGTCTTTTATGGTTCCAAATAAATTTTAAGATTGTTTTTTCTATTTCTCTGAAGAATGTCATTGGCATTTGAGAAGGATTGCATTGAATCTGTAGATTGCTTTAGATAATGTGGACATTTTAACAATATTAATTATTCCATTCCATGAATGTGAAATATATTTCCATTTTTTTGTCCTTTTAAATTACTTTCATCAGTGTTTTATAGTTTTCATTACAGGGATCATTCACTTCTTTGTTTAAGTTAATTTCTAGATATTTAACTTTATTTGTAGCTCTTGTAAATGGGATTACTTTTATGATTTTCATAGCAGCAGGATACAGACAAAATTCCTAGGCATACAGGGACAGGTCCCTGGTGAAACCAAATCTTCAAGCCAAAGACAGCCTGAAGTCTGAAAACAGAGCTGCCAGTTCCAGTTGATTCCATGACTGGAGTGAATACTTCCTTGTTGACTTTTAGCCAATCAAATGGTGCTTTTTCTAGGCCCACCCATGGACCAATCAGCATGCAATCCCCCATTCTGAGCCAATAAAAACCCCAGACTCAGCCTCACAGATGGCTACCTGCTTTCAGGCCTCCTCTCACACAGAGGGCTGCCCACTTCAGGTCCCCTCCTATTGTCCAGAGCTTTTCTGTTGCTAATACAATATTATTCTCTGCCTTGCTCATCCTCCAGGGTCCACATACCTCGTTCCTCCTGGCTGTGGGAGTAGAACCTGGAACCTGTTGAACAGCAGATGTGAAAAGAGCTGTAACACGTGTTCCTGCTTGCTGAGCCATGGGGGATAGAAAGCTGCTTGGCACCACATGTCCCGGTTAACCAAGCTGCAGAGGCAGGACCAAATGAGGTGTGACACTTCCTGAGGGCTCAGACCTTGGGATTTGCCCCACAAAAGCTTTAATACCCCTGGGGCTCCGTGAATGCTGGCATTTCTGAGTTTTCAGGTGCCCCTGTGTCCCACTTGCCCAGACAGTGGTGCCCAAGGGGATAGCCAGCTGCAGCATGTCAGACCATTTGTGGGCTGAGCCCAGAGTCAAGGCAGGTACAGGTTCCAGATTGGTAGTGTGAGCAGAGCACAGCCTGCTGGGCTGAATGAGTGCAGCAAGACCAGCAGGCCCGAGTAAAATCTGGGCAGAGGTGCTAGCAGCCATGGAGATTTCTGGCTGGTGATGTGGCACCAAAAAAATCCTGTGTCAATTTCTTTTTCACATTGTTCACTGTTGTTATACAGAAATGCTAATGATTTTTATATGTTGATTTTGTATGTTCCAACTTTACTGTATTTATTAGTTCTAATAGTTTCACTTTTTTTCTGGAGTCTTCAGGTTTTTCCAAATATAAGGTCATATTATCTGCAAACAAGGGTAATTTGAGTTATTTATTTTCAATTTGAATGCCCTTTATTTTTTTCTCTTGTGTGATTCCTCTTGCTAGGACTTTCAGTACTATGTTGAATAATAGCGGTGAAAGTGGGCATTCTCGTTATGTTCTAGATCTCAGAGGAAAGGCTTTCAGTTTCCCCTCATTCAGTTTGATACCAGCTGCGGGTCTATCACATATGGCTTTTATTATGATAAATTATGTTCCTTCTATACCCAGATTTTTTAGAGTTTTTATCATGAAGTTATGTTGAATTTTATCAAATGCTTTTCAGCATCAATTGAAATGATGTTATGGTTTTCTTCCTTCATTCTGTTGATAGGATGTATCACAGTGATTAATTTGCATATGAACCATACTTGCATCCCTGGGATAAATCCCACTTTGTCATGATGAATAATCTTTATAATGAATTGTCAAATTTGCTTTGCTAGTATTTTATTGAGGTTTTGCATCAATATGCATCTGAGATATTGGCCTGTAGTTTTCTTTTTTAATCTGCAATAATGTGTGCTTTGGTATTAGGGTAATACTGGACTCAGAGAATGCATTGGAAATATTCCCTCCTCTTCTATTTTTCAGATTAGTTTCAGTATGATTGGTATTAGTTCTTCTTTAAATGTTTGGTAGAATTCAGCAGTGAAGCCATCAAGTTTCAGGCTTTTCTTAACTGGGAGAATTTTGTTATGGCTTTGATCTCGTTAATTGTTATTGGTCTGTTCAGGTTTTGTATTTCTTCCTGGTTCAATCTTGGTAGGTTGTATGTGTTTACACTTTGGTTTATCAAACATTGTCTAGGAATTTGTGAATTTCTTCTAATTTTCCAGTTTATTGGCATATTGTTGCTTTGTATTCATTCTCTTAAAGCAGGTCTCTTCAATTATATAGATCTAGAGGGCCCAAATATCAATTGTCTCCTGCTTGGACGTATTGTTTAATGAACTTGGTTTTGTAGAAAGTTTGTGGTTAAGGAAATCAAATATCCTTTGATTTATCAAACACTGTTAAAATTAGATGAATAAGCTCATGAACTAATAATTTAATATTCTGCATTACTGTTTAGGGAGTTTTAGACAATGACTTAAGAAGATGAATTAAGAGTCTGAGAAACTTAGACAACTTACCTGATTTATTTTCTATTGTCGAATGTCATGATCTTGATAAGGTTTTCTTTCAGAGAAACATTTAACAATCTAGCTAGCTTGTAATAATAAAATTCTTAAAACTACAAACTTTTAAGGTTTACTTTAAACATATAAATGTTTTAGAAATTATCTTTTTAAAGTAATTGTCTATTGTGAAGCCTTAATAATTTTATACAGGTTATCAATAAGTATAAAAGTTTAAATACAGAAACACCTTCAAGATTTTTCCAAAGAAATATAGCAATTTACAGACAGATTTGGGTTTATAGTATTGTATAATGCCACACATATATACAGTATAATACATATGTCCAATATTACATAGAGAGAGAGACAGAGTGTGTATATTGTGTAATATAGTGTCATTAGCTTTACATCCTTTTTTTACATGGGGTATATTCTAGGTGGTTTGTCATGTTTATGGTACTTATCATGTTTGAATTTTCAAATATGAATTGTGATTACTTAGCAAATGTCATGGGTTTTTCTCTTTTTCCTGATCTATATAATATGGGTGGATGATACCAATGTTATCTGCAATTTATCTGCAAAGTCAAAAAAATGTATTGGGGCTTTTTCTTAAAATTAGACTTAAGTTTTATTCCATCCAAATGCTACTTTAAACACCATAAATGAAAAGGATGTAGAGCCAGACAAAACTGGTCACAACTATCCCAAAGAGGTAATTGAGCAGAAGAAATAACTTGCCCACACTCACACAATAAAAAACTAAAATTCTCCCAACTCTTCCTAAGGCATGATTCCCACTAATGCTTCTAACCTTAACCTACACATAATGTGTTTATTTTATCTATGTTTTTACTCATCCGGAGTTTGCTATGTTTTCTGAGGTTTAGTAGAATTCTGGGAAATGCTAATCTTGTTGACATCTTATATGCTTAGTCAATTGCTTCTGTATCAAGATATTTTTTATAGATGGTAGACCTTGGGAATATAGGAGGTAACATAACTTTGTATAACATTAATCTAAAATCTATTCAGTAAGAATTTTCCAAAGCTTGATGGTAATGGATGAGGATGATGTTAAATATCTTACTAAAAAAGGTCACAGGATGATTCTCCTACATAGACTGGAGGAAACTAAATGTGCAACTGAATCCACAGATATGCCATTAATAGGAGGCAATTGTGAGATGTAGTTGTTATTATAAGCAACCAAATTTTCTTCTCTGATTCTGCACGCATTTGAGAGGTGAGTAGTGAACCAACTCCTTTGAAAAATACCATAAAAAATAACTGACATTTGAAGGTATATGATTGAATAGATGAGTTATAGAAATTTAAAGTTGTCCATTCTCACTGAAATCTGATAAATGAAAATGGTAATGAAGAAAAATAGAGGAAGAAAAAAGTCTTCTTGTAAATGAAGATCATAGAAGTTTTAAAGATGGAAAAGCCGTTTAGGTTATCTTGTTCATTGCCTTGACAACCCAGAATCACACCACACTCTGTTGACTATAATGTCTTAAAAAGACTATTTTTTAATGACCTAAGAGATAGAAAATCTTTGACATTGCCTTTGGGAGTCAGTTTTTCCATCTGAACTTTTGGTTTTCAGAGTTGATTTAAAAGTACTTTGTTCTTTCAGATTTCAAGTTGATACTAAATTTATGTTTAATAAAATGTATCCTATTTTATGTTTAAAATAAAATGTTGTGTTTAAGACCCATGGAGAGGTATCACAATACTAACAGTAATAGCTATCATCACTAATAGCTACTAATAGTAATAGCTAACCTAGAGGTCTCACAATATTAATAGTAAATAGCTACTATACATCACAAACATATAATGTCCCTTGGTATGTGCCAGAGAAGTTTCAAGACCTTCACATGTACCAAAATCCGTGCATACTCAAGTTCTCCGGTCAATCCTGTGAATCTGTGTGTATGAAAATTTGGCCCCTCATTGTACACAGGTTTTGCATTCCACTAATGCTGTATTTTTTTTTTTAGAGAAGGGTTCGTGCTTTGTTGCCCAGGGTGGAGTGCAGTGGCATGATAATAGCTCACTGCCCCCTCAGATATTTTAGGCTCAAGCAATCCTCCCTCCGCAGCCACCCAAGTAACTGGGACCACAGGCACATGCCACCAGCAGGAGTAATTTTCTTTTTTACTTTTTTAGAGATGGGGGTCTTCCTAAGTTGCCCAGGCTAGTCCCCAGCTCATGGCCTGAAGCAATCCTCCCTCCTTAATCTCCTGAATTTCTGGGAAAATAAGGTCAAGCCACTGCACCTAGCCAAATACTGTATTTTTCATCCAAGTTTGGTTGAAAAGAAAAAAATCTGCATGTAAGTGCACCCCACACAGTTCAAACCCATGTTATTCAACTGTATATACTCTTGGCAAGAAGCTATGTGAGGTATATTACTGACCTAATGCTTGGGGGTGGAGGGAAGAAGAGAGACATTGTTATCTAAATTTCATAGATAACGTTGGGAAGGAAGCTCAGTGAGATAAAAGACGCTTGTCAAATGATAGAGATTAGCAAGCAACACAGCCATTACTCAGACTCACGTCTGCCTGGCTTCATGGGTGATTTTTCCAAAATGATATAAAAGTGAAAATTTTTGTGACAGCATCTTTCTTAATCAGTGATTACTTTCAGCTGTCTTCACATTTCTGCCTTAGAATGATGCCACACATTGTGACAGATATGCAAATAGCATTTGAATAGAAAAGAAAAATTAAAATAAAACACAGTAATAAAGGCCCAATAAAGCAGATCTAATGAATAGCTTCTTTAAAGAAAATGCAATATTAACAGTTTCTCAGAAATTTGAGAAAGATTTTTTTTGAAAGTTTTTGTGCTTAAATAAACATAAAGGCACTACATAAAAGTTTGCTCTTTCCTTTTGCTGAATTTCACTTATTTATAGATCAGTAAATGGTTAATTTCTATAAATGTTTCCAACTGAAAATAATGTGTACACTGCAGTAGTTGTTAAATGTTCAACATATGTCCATTAGGTCTTGATTGTTAAATGTGTTGTTTGTGTTTCATAGCTCCTCACTAATTCTTTGTTTCTTTATTATTATTATTATTATACTTTAAGTTTTAGGGTACATGTGCACAATGTGCAGGTTAGTTACATATGTATACATGTGCCATGCTGGTGTGCTGCACCCATTAACTCATCATTTAGCATTAGGTATATCTCCTAATGCTATCCCTCCCCCCTCCCCCCACCCCACAACAGTCCCCAGAGTGTGATGTTCCCCTTCCTGTGTCCATGTGTTCTCATTGTTCAATTTCCACCTATGAGTGAGAACATGCGGTGTTTGGTTTTTTGTCCTTGCGATAGTTTGCTGAGAATGATGGTTTCCAGCTTCATCCATGTCCCTACAAAGGACACGAACTCATCATTTTTTATGGCTGCATAGTATTCCATGGTGTATATGTGCCACATTTTCTTAATCCAGTCTGTCGTTGTTGGATATTTGGGTTGGTTCCAAGTCTTTGCTATTCTGAATAGTGAATCAATAAACATACGTGTGCATGTGTCTTTATAGCAGCATGATTTATAGTCCTTTGGGTATATACCCAGTAATGGGATGACTGGGTCAAATGGTATTTCTAGTTCTAGATCCCTGAGGAAACGCCACACTGACTTCCACAATGGTTGAACTAGTTTACATTCCCACCAACAGTGTAAAAGTGTTCCTATTTCTCCACATCCTCTCCAGCACCTGTTGCTTCCTGACTTTTTAATGATCACCATTCTAACTGGTGTGAGATGGTATCTCATTGTGGTTTTGATTTGCATTTCTCTGATGGCCAGTGATGATGAGCATTTTTTCATGTGTGTTTTGGCTGCATAAATGTCTTCTTTTGAGAAGTGTCTGTTGCTGTCCTTTGCCCACTTTTTGATGGGGTTGTTTGTTTTTCTCTTGTAAATTTATTTGAGTTCATTATAGATTCTGGATATTAGCCCTTTGTCAGATGAGTAGGTTGCGAAAATTTTCCCCCATTTTGTAGGTTGCCTTTTTACTCTGATCGTAGTTTCCTTTGCTGTGCAGAAGCTCTTTAGTTTAATTAGATCCCATTTGTCAATTTTGGCTTTTGTTGCCATTGCTTTTGGTGTTTTAGACATGAAGTCCTTGCCCATGCCTATGTCCTGAATGGTAATGCCTAGGTTTTCTTCTAGGTTTTTTATGGTTTTAGGTCTAATGTTTAAGTCTTTAATCCATCTTGAATTGATTTTTGTATAAGGTGTAAGCAAGGGATCCAGTTTCAGCTTTCTACATATGGCTAGCCAGTTTTCCCAGCACCATTTATTAAATAGGGAATCCTTTCCCCATTGCTTGTTTTTCTCAGGTTTGTCAAAGATCAGATAGTTGTAGATATGTGGCGTTATTTCTGAGGGCTCTGTTCTGTTCCATTGGTCTATATCTCTGTTTTGGTACCAGTACCATGCTGTTTTGGTTACTGCAGCCTTGTAGTATAGTTTGAAGTCAGATAGTGTGATGCCTCCAGCTTTGTTCTTTTGGCTTAGGATTGACTTGGTGATGCGGGCTCTTTTTTGGTTCCATATGAACTTTAAAGTAGTTTTTTCCAATTCTGTGAAGTAAGTCATTGGTGGCTTGATGGGGATGGCATTGAATCTATAAATTACCTTGGGCAGTATGGCCATTTTCACGATATTGATTCTTCCTACCCATGAGCATGGAATGTTCTTCCATTTGTTTGTATCCTCTTTTATTTCATTGAGCAGTGGTTTGTAGTTCTCCTTGAAGAGGTCCTTCATGTCCCTTGTAAGTTGGATTCCTAAGTATTTTATTCTCTTTGAAGCAATTGTGAATGGGAGTTCACTCATGATTTGGCTCTCTGTCTGTTATTGGTGTATAAGAATGCTTGTGATTTTTGCACATTGATTTTGTATCCTGAGACTTTGCTGAAGTTGCTTATCAGCTTAAGGAGATTTTGGGCTGAGACAATTCTTTGTTTCTTAATTTATTTCCTAGATATATATGTGAAAATATACACACTATATTTGTATATGTGACTTGTTTTCCTTTTTACTATCAATTTTCACTTTACATTTTTGAGTATGCTATTTGAATCTATGCTTTTAGTCTATGCATTTTAAAATGGTATTTTTGCTTGCTAAGCCTTTGTCATGAAATCAATTTCTATATTTGTAGCAACATCTGTCATACATTGTCAAAATCTAACTTGTCAGTATTAATATGGTGGTATCAATTTTTATAACATTTTTATACTATGTTTTTCACCATCCTTTTACTTTCAATTCATCTGTATCTTTAGGTTTTTGATGTTTCTTATAAACAGCATATAGTTGAGCTTATTTCCTCAAGCTGTTATCCTTCAACTGAAGCATGTAATCCTTTTCTTTTTACTTAATGTAAATACTTACATTCTAGAAAAATCTAAAATCTTATTTTGTCCTATGTATTTATTGCATAAATTGTATGTCCCTTTATCATTTTTATAATTACTATGTTTTTAATAATTTCATTTCCACTCTCTTAATGGTTTTAAAATATTAAATTCTCATTCTTTCAGCATTTATCTAGAAAGCACTCAGTGAAACTTTAAAGTTAAATATAATTTTTATTTTTTCTCTCTTAAACTGAAAATACTTTAAAACATTTGATTTTCAATTATACCAATTTTGACTAATATTTTAACATTTCTCATTTTAATTCATACTTGATTTTTAAAATACTGTGTATGAGTATTTCTGTTGTAGGAACCAAGGGACACTTCCTCTTCACCCTCTGAAGTGACACTGAAGATCATTTACAAAAGGCAAATTAATAAAGGAAAAAGGGCATACAAATGTATTTGACCAGTTTTATGTGACTCAGGAGCCTTCAGAATGAAGACCCAAACACACAGGGGATATTGTCCATTTTTATGCTCAGGCTCAACAAAATTCAGACAGCATGTAGAAATATGAATTTTCATGAATTTTCGGTCACTTGGACCCCACTGGTCTCGTACAAAAAGAGTATGAGCTGGTGCTCATAGACTGAGTGGGGAAATCCAGCCAAGACTCTCTGTTTAGATTCTCTTTTGGCCTCTGTGTGCAGCACTTTTTTTTTCTGCATATAGGGCAGGACCCTTTCTGGAATGGGGGGTGTCTTATGACTTACAATCAAACAAGGTAGGTCAGATAATTTCTTTATGGCCAGTTTCCATACAGAAAGTTGGAAGGGAACTTAGTATAATATTTTTCAGGCTTTATGGCTGGCTTGGGAAAAAAGGGGTTCTGATTTTTATCACCTGCCTTGGGGAAGAGGAATTCTAGTTTCTATGGCTAGCCTTTAATGAGAATGAGGGCCTGAGACAAGAGGGTAGGAGAGAGTAAGAAACAGTGTTTTGCTTCTGAGGCTGCTCCTGGGGGCTTCATTTTGGAGTATTGTTTTCTGATCCCCAACACTGTTTAACTTAGAATTTTTTTTTAAAAAAATTGTCAACATTTAAATTTTTTCTTGTCTGTTTTATTTTTCCATTTCAGATTTTCCATTACTTTTTACTTTCTTTTTCTTCCTTTAGCATTTCCATTAGTGGATATCTGTTGGTGGTAAACATTTTTTTTTCTGAAACATGTTTGCTTTTCTCTCATTCTTGAAAAATATTTCCAGTATATGAAAGTGTAAGTTGGCTATTATTTTAGTTCGGCTCATTGAAGATATCTTCTATCACCTTTAGCTTTTTAGGTTGCTATTTAAAAGGATGCTTTTAGTCTAGCTGCTATTCCTTTCATATTATTTTTTTAAGATTTTTTTATTTAATTTTTTTAAAGATTTTTAATTTAATTTTTTTCTGTTTAAAAAAATTTTTTTCAGTTTATTTAATTTTTTTTCAGTTTTAAAAAAAACACATTAATGCTTTTTGTCCTTACTTCAATTCACTGCCTCTTTCTCTTTTCTTTTTCTCCTTCATCTTCTTCTTCCTTCCCTTCCTTTTCCTTCTTTATCATCCTCAGGAGCCTCTGAGAATCTATAAATCTTGGATTTTTGTTTCATCATTAATAGAAATTTTCTGCCATAATCTTTTTAAATAAAGTCTTTACATCTTTCTCTCCCTCACCAAACCCAAGACTACAATCCAATATGTTGTATACATTCTTATTGTACACTTTGTATTTCTTATACACTCTTCTGTATTTTCTTTCTTTACCTCTCTATGCTCTTTATGAATAATTTCTGATTCATCTTTCGATTTATATTCTCTCTTCAATTTTGTCCAATATACTGACAAATATGTTCATTGTGTTTCCTGATGTCTAAATTTGGTTATTTCATTTTCTATTTTTAGAATATTTCTTTGGTCCTTTTAGAACTTGAATGTGCCACATTTTATAATTACCTTTTCCTTACAGTTAATTTCAAGCTCATTACTTATTTATTTAAACCAATTAAGCATGATCCATATTAACTAATTATAGCATCTGAGATAGTTATGTATGAGTCTACTTATGCTGTCTCTTATATTTATTGTTTCTTCCTCATTTTGCTTTGTTTTTCTCTTCCTTCCTGTCTTCCTTCCTTTTTATTCTGACCATTTTCTGCATATTGTCCTTAAGATACTATGTATAGGTATTTCCGAATGCTTACAATGATGTGCTTTCCTTCAGAGATACTTCATATTAGTTCCACAACGTGCCTGTCGGCACTCTCAGGCAACAAGGTCTTAAGTTTTAGCTGAAAATGCTTAAACTTGCCTAAGCTATTCATGCTTGGGGAGCATCTACACACAAGGACAAGTTAAGACATCCTTCTCTGTAACACCTTGAGTTTAGGGAGGGCAAGTGGGAGGGATACATATTTAGGGCTACACATTTAGTTCTACTTCATTCATACATCTACACTGAGATGCTATAATTAGTTAATATGGATCATGTATATCTATATTGAGATTGTAGCTATTTGAGCCCTCTGATCAATGAAGAGAATATCTTATATGAATACTCTTCAGTGGGCTTTGGGGTTCCATTATATGAGGGACCCTGGCATACTAAAGATGTGAAACCAAAACTGAGGTGATACCAGCAAACATCTTCACAGTAGAAATAGGCTCTCTGTTTTGGTCATCAATTTATGTCTCTGGGTTCAGAATTTTTTATAAAAATTGGCCAACATTCATAGATATTTGAGAGAAATTATATATATATATATATTTATAGATCTATATATACTATATATATCTCTCTATATATATACACACACATTTTATCTATCTATCTATCTATCTATCTATCTATCTATCTAGAGAGAGAGAGAGAGAGAGAGGGAGGGAGGGAGAAATATCCAATTAGCTCATGAATCTTCGGTCACTTGTACCCCACTGGTCTAGGATGCCTTTGATCATACAACTGCAGTCAGACAGTGTGTGAGCTGTGAATTGTCTTTGCTGATATTAGCTAGGGTCTCCCACATGCCTGGTGCCTCTATTGGGATAAATTAGTGTTCTCAGATCTAATTCTCATAGTTTCATATCATCCAACAGGCTAGTCAGGTATTGTTCAAATGTTCATTCTCAATGGCAGTGTTCTGCAAACGATGAAGTGCATAAGGCATCTTGAGGTTTTGGTGTGGAATTGACACACCACAGCTTTGGTGGCATTGTATTGCCAAAGCAAGTCTTACAAGCAGGACAGGGGAAATAGACTCTATGTTTTAATATAAGAAGCTGTACATGTGTATGAAAAGTTGTGGATATAAGAAGAGTTGAAGGAATCAGGTCATTTTGCAAGCTAACACACCACACACACACACACTTTAGCATATTTCATTGTTTTCAGTGGGATGTTTGGTTTGAATAACGGAAGTCAATATTTTGTCTTTCCATCTATGCATGCTTATTGTTCCTTTGTGTGTTTTCATTTTGAAAAATTTCTTTTCTTCTTCTTTCCATCTACATGCTTTTGGCTTTGGAAGTTTATATTCTCAAATATTTCTGCCTCACTCAAATCACTAATTTCCCCTTTTTCTTCCCTCTGCATCCTTTCTCTACCAGCCTCTTAAATTTAGTTTTATTTCTGTTTAAAAAAAAGTATTAACTGTTTATTCTCCCCTGTGTCTAAAAAATAAACAAAAATAAATATGTCTGACTCTGTTTCCTCAACAATTTGGAAATTGTTACCAATTCCAGGAGCCATGTGTTCTTCTGTTGAGACTCATCATACTCTGAAAATACTCTAAATACCAGTAGGTGACTAACAACTGACTTATTTGTACAGAGACTAACAAATACTTTGAGGCTTTCAAAGTTATCACTTGAACTACCTGACTTAGTTCAAACTGAACAATTCTGGTGGTACGGAGTCATATTAATTAGTCTGGAAATAAAGCCATTCCTCTAAGTTCAAGGTAGCATTAGAAGGGCTGTTTGGTTTAAAGTAAAACAGCAAAACACTTATAAGCCCTCCATCTGAAGTCAACACAGCCCTAATCTTGATAGTGTTTTATGTTTGGATGCACATAAAAGAATCAACATGCATCAGGCAATCTAAGTTATATCCATAGACTGTGCTATTCAAGAAAACATTATAATAGTTTTAGAAGTAACTTGGCATCCAATAAGAGTAGATGGCAATAGAGATGATTTCAAAACAGATCATGCATCTGAATGTAAAAATAAGGTAACTTGATTAAAGGAATATAATTTATATAATTTATATTGATAAAATTAAATTATTTTAATAATAGTTACACAAAAATATCAGAGAGACTGCAAAGTATAATACATAATAATTGTATTAAACATTAATTGAGTGGTCTCTATGTGCATAGATCTCTCTTGCCATATATATATATATATACACACACACACACACACACACATCATATATATAATATATAAAATATGATATATATACTATGATATATATGATATATATATCAGGTCATTTACATTTTAGGATAACTCTTAAAATATTTATATTATTATCACTCTGATTTTGAAGACATCAGTTGGGACTCAAGCAGATTTTATAATGTTTCCTAAAGCATATGGCTAGTAGGTGGAAGGCAGGATTAAATTTAAACATTCTGACTCAGAATCACTCTGGACTGAAATTATAAACACCTGGGATTGAAGTCCATCAAACCATATACTGGCTCTTTCAAGTATGCTATTTAACGCTTTGAATTCTAAATTTTCTGACTTGTATGATGGTGGTAATAATAAATTAAAAATGTACAATGTACCGAGTCCTTTATACACATTATCTTATTTAATATTAATGTCTCCATTTTATGGATGATCAAAAAAAAAAAACCTACAAGGTCACTCAGCTAGGAAGTTGTGAACTGAGGAGTCAAACCAACACCATCTGGCTCTGGAAGCTACATTAAGATACTCCTATCCTGACGCCGCTAGGAAAATGTGTGAGAATGAAATAAAGCACTATAAATTTCATACGGCATGTAAAATGTTGTGTAATGTGATATTCATTATATCATCATCATCTTTGTCACCATCATCAATTTTAATTCACAGTTGCCTCTCTGGAACCTTTTGTTTTTTTTCTGAGAATCAATTCTCTGTATAATGATAAATGCCGTCATCATGCCACAAATGGTGCCCTAATTAAAATAACAAATTCAAACCTTCTCTTTTTTTAAGTTTGAAGAGAAACCATTTTATTCTCCCCTGTATTTCCATCCTTTCAGGCCATTAACTTACAAAAAAGGATTCTAAATCCCTAGGTGGATTTCATCCTTTAATCAGCTAATGAAGCTGGGGATTAGTTGGTTCTTGAGAAGGCTACTCTAGTGGAACATATATCAAAGCTATATCATGAACACTTTCCTGAAAAATCCAGTCCTACCAAGTAAAAGTCTTCTCTCTTCAAGAATAGCAGTCATATAATGAGTTTTATACTAAATATAAGTTATACATACTTCTAGGAGAAACACATACTTCTTAGTATTTCTTGAGAATACTAATGAATACACTGACAGAGCTTAAAGATATGTGGTAGGATAGCTCAGATTTTGAACAAGTGGAGGAGAAGCCTGAAATGGAAAGAAACTGTTCATAGCTGAAATCCCTGTCTTGGAAACCTTAGCTATGGTCAGGTGCCTTGAGTAGAATTGACCATAGCAGTCACAAAACCAATTGGAATTGGAGTGCAGTGAAGCCTGTGACATGGAAGAGGATGACGCTAATACATTCAAAAATAGTGTGGTTATAACAGTTAAAGAATAATTTTTTCCTAGGGTTGAAATAGTACATTATTGACAATTGAGGGGTGGGGCACAGCTGTGCACAGTCAGTAATTGCCACTGAAACGGAAAGTGAATGTTTCAGCAAGATAAAGTATTTGCATTTAAATAAGAAAAAATCAAGTCAGCGCTATCTTTGGATTAGGGTCTCCGAACATCACTTATGAACACTGCTTATTTTGTTTATTTTTCATGTTTAAGGTTTGTTTTTTCACCTAGCTGTAAAGATAAACAGAAAACACACTCAATGATGTGGTCTTGTATCATTCTCATGTTTTGGAATAGTGGGCATGGGGAATGGAGAAGGGGGGGTTGCAGGAAAAAATAATCTAGCAATTTACCAGGATCTAACTGACAAAGGAATATTCCAGAATAACTACTGTGCTCCAAGAAAATAGTTTTCATAATCAATATACCACATTATTTATGTAGTATTTGTTCTTCGTATTAAAAATCTCATGTGACATTTACTGTTTCTAGGTACATGAGTTCTTTCCATATGTGCAAATTCTGATTTAATTTGCATACTTCATAAAGGGAATAAATTTACATTATGACTAAAACTTAAACGTGCAAACAAGTGAATAAAATCATTAGTAGTTGTGACTGATATATATATATGTAAATATATCAGTAAATATAAAGAAGTGTATACATATGTATGTATCTCTGTGTGTGTGTGTGCGCATGTGTAGCTATGAAAGCCATCAAATCAACCAGGGACAAAATGATGAATAATCAAATGATGATATTGTTGAATGATCAAATGATGATACTCAGTATGTGATATATCAGATTGATTATACATTTTTATATTGCAGCATTCAGTATAATATTCAATCATTCTTATTTATGTAAAATATCTTCAAGTCTAAGACAATACCTACTTGATACCAACATAAATGTAAAGTTTTTACATCTTAATGCCATAACATAGGATATTCAAAAATATGGAAATCAAAATCATCAGATTGTGCCAAAATGTGTATTATATTGGCGCTTCATTTTTTAAAGGAAAAAGAGGTGAAATTTATAAGAAAATTATCTGGTTTATCATTTTAAAATTTGTTACTGAACATAAATTTCAAGTCCCTTAGAAGACTGGATAAATGATGTTATTTTTATTTTTGCATTTGTTTCTAAGGAAATTATTCCATAATGTTGCCGGAAAATAAGTAAAAGAGAAATAATGATAAATTTGCTGAAGTTCACATCCAATTCATCTCGGTGACTCACCATGGGCTGCTGGTTTTCTCTTCAGGGATTAACCCTATAGCAACTGTAAAAGGAAATAAGAAAGCCAGAGCAGGATAATATTTGTGCTTCACTGAATTTTTAAAACTCTAGAGGATCCCTTTCAGGGTTGCCTGATTCCTATTTTATGGAGGCTATTTAGAACTCTTTAAGTTGTAGATAATCCAATAACGATGCAAAATATTTCTTTTCTATAGACAAGCAAATCCTGTCCTATACAATGGAGGTTCATTTGGCTTCACTCCCATGAGAAACAAACAGTTTTGTTCCATTTGCATATTCATGGAATTAGTACTGATCTCTAAATGTGTTTGCTTACGAGATTCTCTGTTGAACCAGCTAAAACATTTCCTTGGATCCCTCATTAATTACTCAGTAGAATAAGAACTTTAAAAGGTTTTTTGTTTTTACATCTGCATAAAAGTAATAATTTTACCTTTTTGAATATTAACATGAGGGCATAAAATAATGACAAGAACAAGAACAGTAGCACATGCCTTGGGAAGAGAGAAGACCTGTGAACTCTGAGGAGGCAGGAGAGAGAAGAGTGCAGAGGGGAAAGCAGAAGCAGCTGAGGCTGCACCAGGGAACAGGGGCTGATGGAAAAATACCACTGAGGAATACATTGGGAAAAAAATTAACATATCTTCTCGTTCCTCTTCACTTACCCATTATGTTTGGACAATCCTTGGCTGTAGTGTAACTGAAGAAAGTGATACCACAGTCCAGTGCCAGTGTCCATAGATGTAAAATCAAGGGAACACAGAAACCAGCATATGTGAAATATCCCATAAACATGTATGGGCTGATTAGCTTTTAGCATTAAATCTTTAGCCCTTCTATTATTCCACTTACCAGTTTTGTTATTCTAAGTCATGCAATAATAGTACTTTTGGAAGAAGTATGAAAATTAAAAAAACAACAATCTAAGAAATGCTACAAAAAGTAAGCAATGTAAGTATAGGGAGTCCACTGGATTTTGCCTTGTTTCCTCCTCCTTGGTAGAAATTGAGAATGCAGTGTAGTAAGCTAGAGCAATTTTAGAGCTCTCCTCTTTTGCTTTCAATGTTTTAAGATCACTATCTATTGTAGCTTGATGTCCACTGTCTTTAAAACCATGATTTCCAATATTTTTTCAGACTTATTGCTTGCTCTGGGCTGTAGGGCAAACCTGGTCTACGTTACTACATCATGGCTGAAAGCAATATTCTAATAAACTGTTGATACAAACACAATTGTTTATTTGAGAAGTACCTTAGAACAGAAAAGAAAGAAATTCAAAATATTCAATTGTCTGCATTTTTATTTATATGACAAAGTAAGAAGAATTCAGATTCCAAAATCGTTTCCTTAAAAGATATCTTTCCCAAGGCAAATAAAAAATATAAAAAACTTAAAGGTATCTCTCCTTTACATCTCCCCAAATCAAACTTGTACATCATGATCTCCTTGCTGACACTGGGCTTTTTCTATCCCATTCTCATCCATTTCTTACAAGCTTTAGCCCTTTTTTGATATAATTCCATTCCCTTCTGTCTCAGCAGTAAGCCATTTGTACCTCAGCAAACTAGACATATTTTTGATATCGTGATTCAATTTCATGGCAAACATCGGAGAGGAATTGTTTACTATAACCATTTTCTACATATAGTTGCAAAGCCAACCTACTATTTCTAAGGACGATATTGGCAGCAACTAAATTCGACAAGACTTCTACATGCTTGATTTTGGAATATACATTAAGCTTGATAGTTTTGCATGCTGTACAGTCATTACTGTGTACTAAAAATACACAATAGTTCCTAGCAAACAGATATACTGTCTATAAAATTTTATTACTTTCTCTCTCACACATTTTGAAGAAGTACGTTGAATTCTGCTCTTCTTTTATTTTCTGAAGAGGGGAAATCTATGACTATCTAAACTTTGTATGAAAACTAACTATATTTGTGATGTATTGTAGGACAAATTATCACAAATCTGGTGACTTAAAACATAGTTTCTCATTGAAAAGAACTAGTTAATCAGAGTCTAATTTGCTGGGATTTTATTAGAGCCTAACAGACCTTGAAGGAGGGAAATATCCAACTCAGGTTAGCTCCAGCTGTTTATGTAAGAGAAGGGAAGTGCTCAAATCTACCTCATTCTAGCCATTCAGTCCCACATAAGGAGAGAAAATAAACTGAATAAATAATTGTATAATAAAATGTATAGTCCAGAAGCATAAACTCACTAAAAGACTGAAACCTAAGCATAGAGACTGTAGAATGCTTCCCTCCCCCAAGAACTTACTTCTACATTTTGAATTCATAGTGGTTTTTCTCACCCAATGCATGGTATCTGATTATCAAGAAAAAAATTACTAGAAAGCAAAAAACACAATTTGAAAAGACAGAGCAAGCATTAAAGCCAGACCTGGCAGTGATATTGTGATTATTAGTCTGGGAATTTGAAACAACTATGATTAATAGCTAAAGGCTCTAATGGACAAAGTGGACAGCATGCAAGAACAGATGATCAGTGTAAGCACAGAGATGGAAAGCCTAAGAAGCACCTACATGAAATTCTAGAGACCAAAAACGGTAACAGAAATGAAGAATGTCTTTTATGAACGTATTAGTGTAAGGAATATGGCTGAAGAAGGACTTACTAGCTTAAGGTTATATCAATAAAACCTCCAAAACTGGAAAAAAAAAAGGAAGCCTGAAAAAACAAACAGAATATCCAAGCACTGTGGGACAGCTACAGAAGGTATAATGCAAGTTTAATAGGAATACTAGAAGGATAAGAAAAAAAGGGACAGAATGAATATTTAAAACAATGACTGAGAATTTACCCACGTTAATGTCAGACATGAAACTACAGATCCAGGAAGCTGAGAACACAAAACAAGATAAATGCCAAAGACACTACACTTAGTCATATCATTTTCAAACTACAGAAAAATCAAAGGTGGAGAAAAACCCTGAAAGAAGCCAGCAGGGGAAAAACACCTCACCTATGGAGTAAGAAGAATTACATTACACTTCTCAGAAACCATATTAGCAAGAAGAGAATAGATGAAATATGTTCACCACTCTAGAAATATGTGCCCTGCAAAATTATCATCAAAAAGAAGAAATCCAGACTTTTACAGGGAAACTTTTACAGGGAAAAGTTCCTTGTTCCAAAAACAAGGGAACTTGTTGCTGGTTGACCTGACTTGAAAGAAGTGCTAAAAGAAGACTTTTAGAGAGAAGAAAAATAATATAGCTCGGGAACGTTAGTATACATAAAGAATACATAAAGAATGACAGAGGATTGAAGGGAGAATAAGGTAAAAATAAAATGTTTGACTCTCTCATTCTTAATTGATCTAACAGATAAGAGTTTGTTTAAAATAATGATAGTAAGAATGCATTTAATTATGTATGTTTATGTATATATCCTGTGCATATATATGTATGTGTGTGCTTATGTAATTATATGTAGTTACAATGAATGCCAGCAATAATACAAAGAACAGAAGGGAGAAACTATAATTATTTTGTTATAAGATAATTCTATTACTCATAAAGCAGTATAGTCTAATGCGAAAGTGGAGTTGAATTAGCTGTAAGTGGATACTGCAAACTCTAGGGAAACCTCTTTAAAAAGTAAAATACAAAAGAACTATAACTGATATGCTTCATAAATGAAAAAATGAAATTATATAAAATACTCAGTTGAAACCACAAAATACATAAAAAGAGTGGAACACAAAAGTAGGAACAAATAAAAATGGGAAATAATGGAAAACTGTAACAAATATAATAGACATTAGTTCAACTACAGTCATGCATCACTTAACAAAGGGGATACATTCTGACAAATGCATTGTTAAGCGATTTTGTCATTGTACAAACATCATAGAGTACACCTATACAAACCAAGATGGTATAGCCTGCTACACACTAGACTACAAACCTACGTGGCATGTTAATATGGAGGAAATACTCCCTAATTCATTCCATGCAGCCAACATTACCCTGATACCAAAACCAAAGACAATCTAAGAAAAAAAACTATAGACCAATCTCTCTTATGAATATAGATGCAAAAATTCTCAACAAAATATTAGCAAATAAAATTCAGTATGTATAAAAATAATTACACACCATGAGCAAATGAGATTTATCCCAGGCATACAAAGCTGGTTCAATATTCAGCAATCAATTAATACGATCCACAACGTCAACAGGCTTACAAAGGAAAAACACATGCTTATATCAATAGATGCAGAAAAGGTATTTGAAAAAATCCATCACAGAATCATGATGAAAAACAAAACACAACAAAAAAACCTTCAGTAAACTAGGAATAGAGGGGAGCTTCCTCAACTTGATATTTTAAAATCTGCAAAAATACTACTGGTAACGTCATATTTAATAGTGAGAAACTCAAAGGTTTTCCACTGTGATCAGGAAGAAGTTAAGGATGTCTTCTCTCATTATTCCTTTTCAACATTGTGTTAGACATACTAGCTAATACAGTAAGGCAATAATGGGCAATAGAAGGTGTACAGATCGGAAGGAAGAAATAAAACTTTGTTTATAGATTGCATGATCATCTTAGAACATTCAAAAATAGACAAAAAAAAATCTTCTGGACCGAATACATGATTATAGTAAGGTTACAGGATATAAGATTAATACACAAAAGTCAGTTGCTTTCCCATATACCAGCAATGACCAAGTTCAATTTGAAATTGAAAACATAAGCAAACCAAAAAATAAAACACTTAAGAAAACCTCTAATAAAATATATATAAGATCTATTTGATAGAAATTAGAAAATTCTGGGCCGGGCGCGGTGGCTCATGCCTGTAATCCCAGCACTTTGGGAGGCCGAGGTGGGCATATCACGAGGTCAGGAGATAGAGACCATCCTGGCTAACACGGTGAAACGCGGTCTTTACTAAAAATATGAAAAATTTGCCAGGCGTGGTGGCACGTGCCTGTAGTCCCAGCTACGCCGGTGGCTGAGGCAGGAGAATTGCTTTAACCCAGGAAGCAGAGGTTGTAGTGAGCCGAAATCGCAGCACCATACTCCAGCCTAGGCCACAGAGCCAGACGCTGTCTCAAAAAATAAAAATAAAATAAAATGAAAAGAAATTAGAAAACTCCGACAAATGGACAAATGAAATCAAGTAAGCACTAAATAAAGAGATATTCCATGTTTATGACTTGTAAGATTCAATATTGTCAAGATGTCAGTTCTTCTTATCCTGCTCTATAGATTCAGTGGAATCCAAATGAAAATCCATCTAAGATATTTTGCATTTAACAAACTTATTCTAGAGTTTATTTGAAGAGCTAAAACTACAAAATAGGCAACACATATTGAAGGAGAAGTAAAAAGCTGGAGGATGACACTGTCTCTCTTCAAGATGTACGATAAAGCTGTAATAATTTTGATAGTGTGGCATTGGCGGAAGAACAGGCAAATAAATCAATGTAACAGAATAGAGAGTGCAGAAATAGATCCCTATAAATATAATTAAGAGAGCAAAGGCAATACAATAAAGCAAAAAACTCTTTACAACAAATAGTATTGTAACAACTAGACATCCACATGAAAAAAAATGAATCTAGACATAAACTTTAAACACTTTTCAAAAATTAACTTAAAATGGATCATAGATATGAATGTAAAAGGCAAAACTATAAAACTCTTAGAAGATAACATAGGATGAAACCTAGATAACCTTGAGTATGGTGATGGCTTCTTAGATACAACAAAAAAGGCATGCTCCACGAAATAAATAATTGATAAACTGGACTTTATTACATTTTAAAACTTCTGTGTGAAAGAAAATGTAGACAGAATACAACAAGCCATATATTGATAGAAAAAATATTTTCAAAAGACACACCTAATCAAGGACTATTATCCAAAATATACAAAGAACTCTGAAAACTCAACAATAAGAAAGCAAACAATCTAATTAAAAAATGGACCAATGACCTTAAATGACACTTCATAAAAGAACATATATATCAGATGGAAAATACTCATATAAAAAGATGTTCCACGTCATATGTCACCAGGGAAATTCAAATTAAAATAACAGTGACATAATGCTACACACCTACTAGAATGGCCAAAATCTGGAAGACTGAAGCACCAAATGCTGTTGAGCATGTGGAGCAACAGGAACTCTAATTCATTGCTAGTGGGAATCTTAAACCATATACTCAGTTAGACAGTTTGGCAAGACATTTCTTGACAAACTAAACATATTCGTACCATATGTTCCAGCAATTTCGCTTTTTTGTATTAACCAAAAGAAGTTGACAACTTATGTTCATGCAAGAAGCTGCACACAGATGCTTTTAGCAGCTTTCGTCTTAGTTGTCAAAATTTGGAAGCAAATAAAATGTCCTTCAGTAGGTAAATGGATAAATAAACTGTGATACACCCAGACAATAGAATACTACTCAGCACCAAAAAGAAATGAACTATCAAGTCATGAAAAGTCATGGAGGAACCTTAGATACATATTACTAAGTGATATGAACCAATCAAAAATTGTCACATACTGTACAATACCAACTATATGACATTTTGAAAAAGGCAAAATGATGGAGAAAGCAAAAAGTTTAGTGATTACCAGGGATTGGGGGACTGATGAATAGGCGGAACACAGAGGATTATTATGGCAGTGAAAACTCTCTGTATAATACTATAATGACTGACAGATGTCATTAGTATTTGTCCAAACTCATAATATACAAAGAGAAGAGCTGCCCAAGACCATGGGAACCTACCTCTTGCATCAGTATGACCTGGATGTGCCACACGGTGTCAAAAGAGATAATTTTGGAGCTTTCACATTTGACTGCCCCCGCTCCCCTCGCTCCAGATTTCAGAATTTCTTGGGGCCTGTAGTTCCTTTGTTTTGGCCAATTTCTCTCATTTGGAATGGGCGTATGTATCTATTCCTATACCCTTATTGTATCTAGGAAGTAACTAAATTGCTTTTGATTTCACAGGCTCATATGCAGAAGGGACTTGCCTTGTGTTAGATGAGCCTTTTGAATGTGGACTTTTGAGTTAATGTTGAAATGAGTTAAAGTCTTTGGGGCACTGTTAGGAAGGCATGATTGGTTTTGAAATGTGAGGATATGAGATTTGGTAGGGGCCAGGGAGAAATGATATGGTTTGGCTTTGTCCCCACCCAAATCTCATCTTGAATTGTAGTTCCCATAATTTCCATGTGTTTCAGGAGGAACCCAGTGGGAGACAATTGAATCATGGGGTCAGTTTCTCCTATACTGTTCATATGGTAGTGAATGAGCCTCACAAGATCTGACAGTTTTATAAGGGGAAACCCCGTTCTCTTGGTTCTCACTTCTCCCTTGTCTGCCACTATGTAAGATGTCCTTTCACCTTCTGCCATGATTGTGAGGCCTCCCCAGCCACGTGGAACTGTGAGTCAATTAAACCTCTTTTTCTTTATAAATTACCCAGTTTCAGGCATGTCTTTATCAGCAGTGCAAGAACAGACTAATACAGAGTTTTACATTTTACTTTCATGACAATGAAGTCCATATATTTCTGTGCTCATTGAGTGTGACAACATGAATTTATTTGTGCTCATTCTATGAGTTAGATATTCTTCTTCAATTCTGTCAGTCTACTCTTTTAGTACTTGGAAAACTGTGCGCCTTCCTTCTGGCCTGCATGGCTTCACATAAGTAATGTTCATTTCTCTCTGGCTGTTTTCAAGATCTTTAAAAATATTTACTTTTCAGACATTTATTAATCATGGGCCTGTGTGAAGATTTCGTTAGGTTTATATGTTGTGGGGTTTACTCATATTCTGAATCTGTTAGTTTATTTCTTTCATCAAATTTTCAAAGTTTTAGCCATAATCTTTTTAATACATGTGCAGTCTCTCTCTTTTCTTTTCTTCTGGAACTCTAATGGTGAATGATAGGAATATTATATATTTTGTTATTATTCCACCAGTGTGCGAGTCTTTTTTTTCCAGTTTATTTTCTCTGTGTTCAGACTGGGTAAATTCTATTGATCTGCCCTCATGTTCCGTGACTCTACTCTCATAACTACTCTCTAATGAGCCCATTCAGTAAATTGGGTTTCAAAAATCATTTTGGCTATTATATATATTTAAATTTCTATAATTTCAATTTTTCATATTTTATAGTATCCATTTCTTTGCTGAGA